>NC_000002.12:116580527-116883557 GCF_000001405.40 Homo sapiens | reverse complement strand
CTCTGACTTAAGAGTCTTTGCCAACATCCACATAATTCTGGCAGGATAAGTTGGTTGCTTGCAGATAAACTAAAAGCTCAAGACCTTTCACAGATTTTGGAGGCAAAGAGGGGATGTAAAACATACATAACTTTCTTGAAAAAGAGAATAAAGGCCTCCATAGGCTAAGTTAGGAGATAAAAGAACACTGCCCAGGGGCAGGTAATCGGTGCTCTTACACCAGTAGTGGACAAACTAGCAAGAAGGTTCTCCCACTGTTCTACCTGTTAAGGTATGTTGACAGGTTGAGCAGGTAGAGGTGGAACTGAAACAAGCCATTCAAATGATGCTACAGGCAGGCAGGCAAATGAAGGGATGCTATCAAGACAATGGTGCAGGAAGTCCTGCAGCCCTAGTTAAAGGGAAAAGTGGTTGTAGCTGTTGAGTCAAGAAACCTCCAGCAAAAAAAAAAAAAAAAAAGAGGTGTCAACTAAGAGGATACTGTGACTTTGGTTTGGGCGGATCAAAACTAAGAAGTTTGAGTGACTTGTAGCTGCTGGAATGCTTGAAACAAAATGTTTCTTCTACTAATATCACTGATACTGTAACAGGCTAACTTGTTTTCTTGCTAAGGAGGGTAAAATCTCAGAACCTTCATTATCCTGATAATGATTAAGTATAATATCATTTAAAAATATTGTGTGTGTATCTATGTGTGTGTGTGTGTACAGAGAGAGAAGTAAAGATACATAGAAAAAGATATAGATAAATAGATATCTACAGGGAGGTTCTCTGAAATGTTAACTATGATTATCTCTGATAGAAGGAATGTGGATATGCCTTTTGGTTTATTTCTTTTTGCTGTTAATGTTGTTTGAATCTTTTACAATAAGTGTGTATCATTTTCTTCCCAACAGTTATGAAACTAAAAAATGAAGATTTCCATTTAAATATCCAATATTAATATTAATCAGCAATTGTTTAGGCAATACAGTGTGACGATAAGTTTATTTGCACTGAGGTAGAACATTATGATGGGGTATGCATCTTTCTGCCTGCGTTGAAGCTGAAATAATGCTTTATGGTTCATCTCTCTCATCTTCCATTTTGAGTGTTCCTGCACCCCATTCTCCTTGGAGGGCTTGCCTTTGTGCACCATGAGCATTAACAGCCTTGTTCTCGGCATTTCAAAGAAATGAATTGTGAATTCTCAATGAATTTGTGCCTTCCAGTCTAACAGTACTTCCCCAGGGTGTAAGAGCTGAGATTTTAACAGTTTTGCATGTCAAAGATTGGTAACTGTATATATCTGAAGTATTTTGAAAGCTTGTGGCTTCCTTTCTCCCAGCACTGCAGAAAAAAATTGACCTGAGCAAAAATTAAAGAGAGGCAGGGTTTTCTCTTGGCTTGATCTACAGGAAGAATTTGGCTGAAAAGACTCATGCTTTGACAATGAACTTGCTGGCAGTGGCATCTTAATTATGGAAAAGGCAGAAGATAATGTTAATAGCATAGACCCCCAAGCCAGTGTTCCAAGGGCACCTAATAAATCCTGAAGCCATCATTCACCACAGCCAAAATGCGAGAGCCTGTTATACCACCATGGCCAAGGCAGCATTCAGCACAGGCAACATGTCACATCAGCAGGGGAGAGAGCGCTGGGTGGAGATTTAAATTTGGGCCCCATCAGTGCTGCCAAAAGACACCAAGATACAGCTTGAAGCAAGGTGTTATGCCAACTTGACTGAGCTAAGGGATACCCAGATAGCTGGCAAAACATTATTTCTGAGTGTGTCTGTTAAGGTATTTCCGGAGGAGATTAGCATTTGAGTCAATGCACTGAGTAAGAAAGATCCACCCACCCTCACCAACACAGGCAGGCATCGTCTAATCCATTGAGGGCCTGAATAGAACAAAAAGGTGAAGGAAGGGGAATTCTTTCTCTCTGCTTGGCCTAGAACATCCATTTTCTCTGCTTCTGGCCATTGGAGCTCCTGGTTCTTGAGCCTTTGTCTTCAGGACTTATGTCAGGCCTTTGGACTCAGACTGAATTACTCCACTCCACCAGCTCTTCTGGTTCTCCAGCTTATGGATGGCAAATCATGGAACTTCTCAGCCTCTATAATCATGTAAGCCAATACCATAATAAATCTCTTACATATCTATATATCCTATTCGTTCTGTTTCTCTGGAGAATCTTGACTAATACACAAGGCAAGTCTGCAGGGTATGTGTGTGGAGAATGAACCATTTCCAAACACCTAGGAAATTCAGCAGGATAATGGTAGAATTAACACTTTGCAAGTGTATTGAAGCAAAGCATTACGTGATCTACTTGTGAATTGCTGGTATCACCTGTATCCATAAAACTAGCCGCTAAGAATAGACAAGTGCTTTCAAAGACAAGACTGTGAATGTAAGGAATGGTATCAGTAGCAATAAAGTGAAAAGAAATGCATTGAGCTCAGGCTGGAAAGATCTTTGCAGGAAAAACAAGAATAATGATGAAAACGTTAGTTAAAATTAAAAAAAAAAAAAAAAACTTGTACGGTCTCCCAATTATACTATATAAGTTACGTACAAATCTTCACTGAACTCCAAAGCACTGCAATGAGCAATTGTAGACTCAGGGAAAATAGAAGTAGGACTTATTATGTCTCATTTTAGATAATTATAGACAACTGAAAGTCCCAGCTCAATTGTACTGACTTGGTGCAAGATTTGAGTAAAAGTTTGCAATGGTAGCTTTGACTTTGCCACTCCTCCACCATAGGGAAATCATATGTTAATGAGATCAGCAATGCGTAGTAAACAAATATCATCATGACTGAGTTAGCCAATGGCTACAGGCTTTGCCAAGTGGAGGAGAAAAGATGATGCAGCTACCCAACGTTTCAGAAGAAGAAAAAGGAATGACAAAAGGTCTAAAATGAGGTTAGATGTTTGGACTTTGCAGATTTTTAGTAACTATTTTTTTGTTTTCATTAAGATGGGTGACCATCCGGCACAAAGAGGTAAACATCCAAGCTCATATGCACTGTCAAAAGAAACACATGTGGTTTCCATTGGTTCATAAACTCCTTCTTCCTAACGTGAAAATGCTAGTGAAAGTGCCACAGCCTGAAACAATAGTAGGAGTACACCAGCACTGTGTGAGGCCCCAGCACTCATTTTAGACTTTTCAGCCTAATCTATACAAATATTTTATACTCATTAGTAGTAGCTTGTCTGCTAACACTAGTCCTGTATCATAGTATTTACATTTCACCATAACACACATGTCCACATTCTTGATTTTAATTGGGGGTGAGAGACACGTATTCCAGAAAAATTAACCTCACTTGAAGTCTCGATATATGAGGCCACGTCGCAATTTTTCCACTTCAGCTTCTACTATGTGAATTTGGACACTGGTTGAATCTCCATTTTCTACCAAAAAATAGGGACTTAAAATGTATTTCAGAGAAAATCCTAAATTAGATAATGGAAAACAAGATACTTGGCACTGTGTTTCATAAATATTGGGCATGTGTGATTGAATCTTTCTAATCTTAACCAGCATTTTGCTGAAATGGCTCATAGCCTGGTTCTGCTTTGAAAAAGCTATGAAAGGACAGGCTTTAGCCAAAGAAGATACTTTCCCTTGTTTACCTCCAGGGAGGGAGGCAGATGGGGTTACAGAGAGAAATGCAAACACATCTGATTTCGCCAGTTGCCCGCAGCCTATTGCTTCCAGCTTTCTCAGTTGTCTTCTAGGCCTTTTCCAGACAGGCCTACCCAAACATGATTAATTACCTATCTATTGCTGGCTTGCATGGGTAAGAGAGTTTGGCAGTAAGCTATGCCTGGGTTCAGAGAATAGCTTACCATTTCATATACCTGGGTGCCATGTAATTCTTTTTTTTTTTTTTTAGTAGAGTATAATTCTTTATAATTAGACTTTTACTTCTGTGTAAAAGAATAGCCACTTACACCTCTTTCACTGTGCAGTTGCTTTAATTACACATAAATACTGACAGCCTATAAAGAAGTACATTCCTTTAGGCACTGTGCTTAGGCAAATTTCTTAATCTCTCATAGACCCTAGGCTGAGCTATTCTACAGGAACTTTATGAGAATTTCATAGATATTTTAAGAATAACTTAAAATGTATAAAGCGATATAAGAGTAGGGAACATTATTAAAGAGTTCTTTTCTCACTCGCTGTGCCGGTCATGTTTGCTTTTCCTTTACCTAGTAATTAATCATCCAGGATTATTTTCCTTGCCTTTCCATGATCTATCCTTCCACATCTGTTTATGTGAAATAGTTACCAAAAAGCCTTTGTATTCGTGAAAATGACCCTGAGGGCTCTAATTTGTATGGGCATTTGCTCAGCACTTCCGTGTGAACTAAATAGAAGTGGGAAGCAATCATAAATGATTTAATGTAAATTGTTTTGGGAACTGATAGATCACTATTTATTATCCTGTTTGCACTTGTAGATGTGTAATACAAAGGAGAGCGAATTTCCCTTGTAGATTAATGAAGGTAGCAACAGAGATTCTAATTTCCCAAGTGAAATACTTTTTACATAGTGGTAGCTTTGGGAGACAGGTCTGAACCTCATTAAACTTACTGTGTGTTATACACGGACGACCTAATTCAATTTTTGTAAAAACAGGCAAATAGGCCGTCAATGTAAATTAAATCCAAAGGCAAACAAGGTCACTGTGCTACTATGTTACATGAGCATTTGTCTCATAAATGGAAAAGTAAATTAAACTGTTAATTTCACTAGCAATATTAGAAAAACAAGCCCCAATCTGTAGGCGTCAAAAAGAGAAGAGTGTTTTTCTCCATATGAATTATAATATTTTCCAAACTGCCTCTTCTGAGGTTTACACTTCATCTGTAGTCCCTCCCTTTTAAAACTAGATTTTTCATAATTTCCATTTTGTCATCACTAAAAATTTTCTAATTTATCTTTGAATCTCCAGGTAACCTTTTCTGAACTCTTAGTGTTTTCCTCATCATGACCAGGGATGTGCAGAATATGTCACTGCCACCCCCCTAGTCAGTATCTCTCAGAATTCTTTAAAGCTTTCACAATAAAACTGAGGCCATGCAAGGACCACCAGGACTGAGCACCAACCTGATGTCCTCTTACCCAGCTCTTATCTCTGTCCACCCTGTCCCTCCCCATCAAACATCCTGAATTTCAGTCACATTGAGCTACTTAGAAGTATTTGATGTATGTCAATGTGTCTTTTTTGCACTTGTAAATCTTGTCTGACATTTTTTCCAAGTTCTCTTTTCAAACAAGAGAATAATAATGCATCTTTCAAGATTCAAACAGTCTATGCAGCCTTGACCATGCGCCCTTCCTCCATGGAGGAATTTACTTGCTTTGTGGCCCTTTGCTCCCAGTATAAAATTGTGTCATTGCACTATTAGAGTTTCCACACCTTCTTCCACATCACTTTAATGTCTTCCTTATCTTTGTTTTGCCAATATGAAGCACACTGCCTGGTCCAAAGTATGTGCTCAATACACTGTTCGATAAGTATTAAATGAACAAAATCTGATATATACAAGGGAAGTAATAGGTGATCATTTTCAGTTTATAAGCTCTCAATCACTAAAGTAAGTTTCATCACAACCCCAATTCTTGTCAGGGAAGCAATGGCCCTGCCATGGCATCCTAGAGACTTTGGCTATGTCGCCACATAGGCAAAGAGTGGAACCACGGCTTTTGCGAGTCCCAACAGCATATTTTGTGATACTCCATGGACACCAGAGGATGGGTGGCCTGCGAAGAACTGCAAAGGGCATCTCCCACTTGCTTTCTTATCTTCCCTTGTGGAATATCATGAGATAGTTTTGGTTCTTTCTGCTTCATTCCCCTTAGAATAGAGCTACTGATTTAGAACCATTTAGCCACTGTCTAGATTTGGCTCCACAATTAATGGAGGTATCCTACAATTCACGGGGCAGTAACCTTTTGTGTTATAGAATGCTTTTTGGTGTGTAGGACAAGGACCACAAGGGAGCACTTTTTTTCTGTGTTTTTTTTTTCTCCATTGTGTAAATAATAAAATGTTCATAACTGAAAGTGGCTCTTATCTTTATAGGTCAAATCTGTCAGACTTTGGCCTTTCCTTATCTTGAAACTTGATGATAATTACACATATCATTTCTCTTAGTTATATTCTTTTTTCTTCTTTTCTCCAGGTTTTCTTTTTTCTTTCTTTCCTTTTTCTTTCTCTCATTTCTTTCTTTCTCTGTCTCTCTGTCTGTCTGTCTTCACACTGTAGTTTAGACTACAGTGCTGTTCAGATTACGTATGCTTAGTATTCAGAAACCGTATTTCCTTAATTTTTTAAGGTTATCAAATGAAACTCTTACCACTTTGTGTGTGTGTGTAGGAGCAATGTTAGAAAAACAGGCCCCAAGATGTAGTCAAAAAGAGAAGAGTGTTTTCTCCATGTGAATTACATGACAAGAAAAGATACTAGAGAATAATAATTTGTTGTTTATAGGCAACATCCATATATTTCTGTTTACACCTTGGCATTACTCTTGTTTTCTCTACCCTGACAAAGGAACCTCCATTTAAGAAATAAGCCATAAATATTACTTAAATATCGCAGCAGCCATGAGATTGCCTCACTATAGATAATTATCTGAAGCATTCAGTATTACAAAAAAAAAAAGGAAAAAAAAAGTTTGCAGGGTACTGATCACATGAGACATAAGGAGAACAGAAGGTCCCCAGGGTACCAAACATTCTTTAATAGTTGTTTTATTTTTCTTTTTCATTGAATACTGAAACTAAAGCAAAATTAAAAATTGTTACTTTGAAGTCAATTCATTCTCCAAGCATCAGAAATTATTTCTTAATCACTCAGCTACAGTCTTTCCTTTCATAAAATGAGGCTAATAATACCAAATTCATTGTTTTGTGAAGGGAAGTAATTACATCACAACAGTAACCAGAAATTAAGCCATCTTAATTTTAAGTAATGAGATTACTTTCAGTATCTCTCTAATCAGTAATGAAAAGGAACACTAAGTCCCAATGAGAATTCACACATCCTGGCTCTTTTATTTGTCTCATGTGAATGCCCAAAAGGCTATGAAAGCCTCCTTTGCAGATGACCACTGGCAATCTATTCTGGAAGGTATCTATGGCACATCAGTTCAGGCTTTGTGAGACCTAAAATAACCTGAACAAGTATTTGACAGCTGCCCCAGAAAGACTAGAATAATGAAAGCAGCTTCAGAAGGTCTTTATTCAAAAGAGGTAATTCAACCTGGGTATTGAGGTACAATAAAGGAATTTTGACCTTCCTTTCCCTCAGAAGTATGGTCCTTAAATTCTTATTTGTTTTGCTCTGCTGTCATTTTTATAAAAAAATAAATATTGCAAAGGAGATAGGTAACAAAATTCATAAAGCAAATATCACTCTTCTAAACATTCATCTTCATAAATAGTTTGCATAAAGGAAGCTATCTCTCCAGTAGTTTGTCCCCTTATAATTAATTTGGTCTCTCATTACCAGTTTGGCAACCGAGATCATTCCAGTTGTTACCACTGGTGGTTCCAGTTGAGTTAACTCATGGATTCTAGAGATATATATGCAAATGCCTATAACCTTATGTATTTCTGTGTTGTATACCATTTTTACATGAGTGCTTCTTCCAACTGCATTACTAACTGAGAGGACAAACTCCACCCTACAAATTCTTATCTTTTATGTGGATCACACACTGCTGAATAAATGCCACTGACTTTGGGCCCTTTTTGATTTTCATGCTAACATAGGTAGGCTGTTCATGCCCAATTATGGCAAAGATATGCCATGCACAGTAAGATATGATCAAGTAAATTATGAAACTATTAAACAATAATGTGCATGATGATCATTTTAGGCTTTCAGACAATACCACTGGGGAAGGGGTAATGAGGATTTGGAAAAGTAAGTCAACAAGTACAATTCACATCATGCAAACCAGACAGGCACTTATTCTATTCATGCAAAGCCAACTGGTAAGCTTTATTATTGTCATATGTGAAATGTATATCTTAATCTCATTTTATTCCACAATAAACTATCCCAACAGCCAGCAAATCCCAGCAGCAGTATGTTTTCAATTGGTGACATGTCTTGTGACAAGGGGTTAGTTTCCTTTGTCAGTCTTTTGAAGGCAGGTTTTCCACTAGAGTAGGAATTGTGTAATGCAGAACATACTTCTTAAACTGGTCAAATGATTTAATAAAATGTCTGTAAAATCAGTTTAATAGAAATCCTTTAACTCCCACCAGTGTAAGTAGAAGGTTTAATGACTCCAAGATCAACTTCAAACTCTAATTTCAGCCTCTGATTCCAAGACTGGCTCACTGGAAAGAGAGCTGGCATCTTCTCATGTGGAACTGACTTGGTGCATCAATGCCCAGTGCCTGTGGCCACTGCGTCTGCAATCTGTCTTGTGGAATGACATATGCTGGGCCTCAGGTGAATCACATTGGACAACTTACAGAAAATGTTGAGAGCAAGAGAAATGATTGCTGTCTTTTAGAATTTGTCAAAACAGGAGATACTAATTTCAATATCTTATAATTTTTGAACAAACCCAGCAGTACAGCTATTTCCTTTCCTGTGCTCAGGGAGGCTGAGATGCCAATGCTCAGTTGCTGCTATTCTTCTTCAATGAAGACCTTGAAACTGACCTGACTCACCCTTATCCATCTTCCCATAGCAGTTATTCCATTCACTCTGGGCACAGGCTACTGAATATTTTTATTTAATTTTAAAATAGACTGTATTATTATTTACCCAAGGAGATAATGATTTTCTCCTGGACCTTAATTAGGTATTAAAGACCTATGTTTGGTGGGGTGGGGCCAAGATAGCCATCTAGAAAGAGCAGTGTTTGGAGGCTCTCATTGAAAAGAACCATAATAATAAGCTTGTGAATAATAACAATAAGCATGTGAATAATAATAAGCATGTGAATCCTTCACCAGCAACTAAGGTATCCAGATTCTCTCATCAGAACTGACTAGGAGGCTGGTGTGATCCTTGGAGAGGAAAAAAGGACAGTGTGGTGCAGTGGCCCACCTGAGAACCACATGGGGCAAGGGAGTCTTCTCACCCCAGCTAGGGAGGTGGTGAGTGAGCGTGCTACCCAGCTAGGGAAACCATGCTTTTTCCATGGAACTGTGCAACCCACAGAGCAGAAGATCCCACTTGTGAAACCACGCCACCAGGGCCTAGCATCCCAACCCAGGAGCTGTGCAGATTCTCAACAGCCTTTCAGTTGGAATCTGCTTAAGCCTACCGAGCTCCCAAGGGGAGGGGCAGCCAGCCCCACAGCTGTGGCAGCCTGCTGTCTAAGCCATTTAAGCTACTTGTGAGAGGGGCAGCAGCCAGCCCTGGGACTCCAAACTGCCTAACACGCTAAGCTCCCTGGGCGAGGGAAGGATGGCATTCATCTCTATAGCTCCAGGCTGCACTTTTCCCCTGCTGGAGCCAGGGAGGCTGGACATCTTGGTCCCAAGACATGTCTCCCATAACCAACACAATGGCTGTGGCAGACTGCAGCCAGAGTGCCTCTTCAGGCCTGACCCTGACTCACCCTTCTTCACTGGGTGGGGCTTCCCTGAAGGAACTCCAATAACTCCAGCCAAAGGCTCAGGGACAGAACCTGGATCTCCCTGGGCCTGAACCCCTAGGGGGAAGGGTGGCCACAGTCTCTGCAGACCAGCAGACTTAGCCTTTCCTCCTGGTAGTTCTGAGGAATCTGGGTAGCCCAGATGAGTGGGTTTACTCCCAGCAAAGCACACCCACTCCACCAAGGGACAAAGTGCTTCATTAAATGGATCTTGTTCTCTGTGCCACCCAACTGGGTGAGACCCTCGAACAGGGGTTCTCAAGACACCCTATACAGGAGTAATCCTATTGGCATCAGGTTGGTGCCCCTTGAGGTCAGAGATCCCAGAAGAAAGAGCAGGCACCCAGCTTTGCTATTGTCCAGACTCCTTGAGTGACATCTCTAGACACGGGAGCAAACCAGATGAGTAGGGCCCGAAGTGAACCCCCAGCAAACTGCAGCAGCCCTACAGAAGAGGGACCTGACCATTAAAAGAAAAACAAACAGAAAGCAACAACAACAGCATCAACAACAACCACAAAAAGACCCTACAAAAACCCCATCCAAGGGTCAACGGCCTCAAAGATCGAAAATAGACAAACTCATGAAGATGAGAAAGAATCAATGAAAAAATGCTGAAAACCCAAAAGGCCAGAGTGCCTCTTCTCCTCCAAATGATCACAGCTTCTCTCCAGCAAGGGTGCACAACTGGACAAAGAATGAGATGGATGAAATGACAGAAGTAAGCTTCAGAAAATGGGTAATAAAAAACTATGCTGAGCTAGAGGAGCATGTTCTAACCCAATGCAAAGAAGTTAAGAACCTTGATAAAAGGTTAGAGGAGCCTCGAACTAGACTAACCAGTTTACAGAGGAGTATTAATGACCTGATGGAGCTGAAAAACACAGCACGAGAACTTCGTGAAGCATAAACAAGATTCAATAGCCAAATCAACTAAGTAGAAGAAAGAATATCAGAGTTTGGAGACCACCTTGCTGAAATAAGGCATGCAGACAAGACTAGAGAAAAAAGAATGAATAGGAATGAGGAAAGCCACCAAGAAATATGGGACTTCTTAAAAATACTGAACTTACAATTGATTGGAGTACCTGAAGGAGACAGGGAGAATGGAAACAAACTGGAAAACACACTTCAGGATATTATCCAGGAGAGCTTCCCCAACCTAGCAAGACAGGCTAACATTCAAATTCAGGAAATACAGAGAACACTACTAAGATACTCCATGAGATGATCAACCCCAAGACACACAAGCATCAGATTCTCCAAGGTCAAAATGAAGGAAAAAATGTTAAGGGCAACCAGGGAGAAAGGTCAGGTCACCTACAAAGGGAAGCCCTTTAGACTAACAGTGTATTTCTCGGCAGAAACTCTACAAGCCAGAAGAGATTGGGGGCCAATATTCAACATTTTTAAAGAAAAACAGAATCTACAATGAACTCAAACAAATTTACAAGAAAAAAACAAACAACCCCATCAAAAAGTGGGCGAAGGACATGAACAGACACTTCTCAAAAGAAGACATTTATGCAGCCAAAAAACACATGAAAAAATGCTCATCATCACTGGCTATCAGAGAAATGCAAATCAAAACCACAATGAGATACCATCTCACACCAGTTAGAATGGCAATCATTAAAAAGTCAGGAAACAACAGGTGCTGGAGAGGATGTGGAGAAATAGGGACATTTTACACTGTTGGTGGGACTGTAAACTAGTTCAACCATTGTGGAAGTCAGTGTGGCGATTCCTCAGGGATCTAGAACTAGAAATACCATTTGACCCAGCCATCCCATTACTGGGTATATACCCAAAGGACTATAAATCATGCTGCTATAAAGACACATGCACACCTATGTTTATTGCGGCACTATTCACAATAGCAAAGACTTGGAACCAAGCGAAGTGTCCAACAATGACAGACTGGATTAAGAAAATGTGGCACATATACACCACGGAATACTATGCAGCCATAAAAAATGATGTCCCTTTGTAGGGACATGGATGAAATTGGAAATCGTCATTCTCAGTAAACTATCACAAGAACAAAAAAGCAAACACCGCATATTCTCACTCATAGGTGGGAATTGAACAATGAGAACACATGGACACAGGAAGGGGAACATCACACTCTGGGGACTGTTGTGGGGTGGAGGGAGGGGGAAGGGATAGCTTTAGGAGATATACCTAATGCTAAATGATGAGTTAATGGGTGCAGCACACCAGCATGGCACATGTATACATATGTAACTAACTTGCACATTGTGCACATGTACCCTAAAACTTAAGGTATAATAATAATAAAATAAAAAATAATTAAAAAAAAAGAAAAGAATTTTCATCGCGGAATTTCACATCTAGCCAAACTAAGCCTTATAAGTGATGGGGAGACAAAAAAAATTTCCAGACGATCGAATGCTAAGGGATTTTGTTACCACCAGGCCCACCTTGCAAGAGCTCCTAAAATAAGCACTAAATATAGAAAGAAAAAACTAGTACCAGGCACTTTAAAAACGCATCAAAATATAAAGACCAAGGACACTGTGAAGAAACTGCATCAAGTGGTTTGCAAAACAAACAAATAGCATTATGATGACAGGATCAAATTCACACATAACAATACTAAAATGTGAATGAGCTAAATACTCCAATTAAAAGACAGACTGGCAAATTTGTTAAAGATTCAAGACCCATCAGTGTGCTGTATTCAGGACACCCATCTCATGTGCAAAGACACACATAGGCTCAAAATAAAGGGTTGGAGGAAAATTTACCAAGCAAATGGAAGGCAAAACAAAAGCAAAGGTTGCAATGCTAGTCTCTGACAAAACAGATTTTAAACAAACAAAGATCAAAAAAGACAAGGGAATTAAATAATGGTAAAGGGAACAATTCAACCAGAAGAGCTAACTATTCTAAATATATATGCACCCAATATGGGAGTACCCAGATTTATAAAACAAGTTCTTAGAGACCTACAAAGAGATTTAGACTCCCACACAATAATAGTGAGAGACTTTAACACCCCACTGTCAATATTAGAACAATGAGACAGGAAATTAGCAAGGATATTCAGGACGTGAGTTCATCTCTGGATCAAGTAGACCTAATAGACATCTACAGAACTCTGCAGCCCAGAACAACAGAATATACATTCATCTCAGTGCCACATGGCACTTATTCTAAAATTGACCACATAATTGGAAGTAAAACACTCCTCAGCAAATACAAAATAACCGAAGTCATATAAAACAGTCTCTCAGATCACAGTGCAATGAAATTAGAACTTGGGATTAAGAAACTCACTCAAAACCACACAATTACATGGAAATTGAACAGCCTGCTCCTGAATAACTTCTGGATAAATAATGAAATTAAGGCAGAATTCAAGAAGTTCTTTCAAACCAATGAGAACAAAGAGACCAACATACCAGAATCTCTGGAACACAACTAAAGCAGTGTTAAGAGGGAAATTTACAGCACATCAGAAAGCTAGAAACATCTCAAACTGAAACCCTAATATCACAATAAAAAGAGATAGAGAGGCAAGAGCAAATTAATCCAAAAGCTAGCAAAAGACAGGAAATAACCAAAATCAGAGCTGAACTGAAGGAGATTGAGGCAGAAAACACCCCGCAAAAAAATCAATGAATGCAGAACCTGGCTTTTTGAAAAAACAAACAAAAAAAAATAGATAGACTGCTAGCTAAACTAATAAAGACGAAATGAGAGAAAAATCAAATAGACATAATAACAAATTATAAAGGGGATATCACCACTGATCCTATAGAAATACAAGCTACCATCAGAGAATACTGTAAACACCTCTACACAAATAAGCTAGAAAATTGAGAAGAAATGAATAAATTCCTGGACACATACACCCTCCCAAGACTAAACCAGGAAGAAGTTGAATCCCTGAATAGACCAATAACAAGTTCTGAAATTGAGACAGTAATTAATAGCCTACTAACTGGAAAAAGCAAAGGACCAGACACATTCACAGCCGAAATCTATCAGAAGTACAAAGAGGAGCTGGTACCATTCCTTCTGAAACTATTCCAAACATTTGAAAAGAAGGGACTCTCCCTAACTCATTTTATGAAGCCAGCATCATCCTCATACCAAAAATTGGCAGAGACACAATAAAAAAAGAAAACTTCAGGCCAATATCCCTGACGAACATTGATGCAAGTATCCTCAATAAAATATTGGCAAAGTGAATTCAGCAGCACATTAAAAACCTTATCCACTATGGTCATTTGGCTTCATCCCTGGGATGCAAGGCTGGTTCAACATATGCAGATTAATAAATGTAATCCATCACATAAACAGAACCAAAGACATAAACCACATGATTATCTCAATAGATGTAGAAAGACCTTTGATAAAATTCAGTATCCCTTCATGTTAAAAACTCTCAATAAACTAGGTATTGAAGGAATGTATCTCAAAATAATAAGAGGTATTTATGACAAACCCTCAGCCAAAATCATATTGAATGGGTAAAAGCTGGAAGCATTCCCTTTGAAAACCGGTACAAAACAAGGATGCCCTCTCTCACCACTCCTAGTCAATGTAGTATTGGAAGTTCTGGCCAGGGCAATCAGGCAAGAGAAAGAAATAAAGCATATTCAAATAGGAAGAGAGTAAGCCAAATTGTCTATGTTTGCAGAAGACATGATTTTATATTTAGAAAGCCACATCATCTCAGCCCAAAAACTCCTTAAACTGATAAGCAAATTCAGCAAAGTCTCAGTATACAAAATCACTGTGCAAAAATCACAAGCATTCCTTTACACCAACAAAAGACAAGCAGAGAGCCAAATCATGAATGAGCTGCCATTCACAATCACTACAAAAAGAATAAAATATCTAGGAATAGAGCTAATAAGGGATGTGAAGGACCTCTTCAAAAAGAACTAAAAACCGCTGCTCAAGGAAATAAGAGAGGACACAAACAAATGGAAAAACAATCCATCCTCACAGATAGGAAAAAACAATATCATGAAAATGGACATACTGCTGAAAGTAACTTATAGATTCAATGCTATTCCCATAAAACTACCATTGACAGTCTTTACAGAATTGGAAAAAACTACTTCAAATTTAATTTGGAATCAAAGAAGACCTTGTATGGCCAAGACAATTCTGAACAAAGAGAACAAAGCTGGAGGCATCACGTTACATGACTTCAAACTATACTACATGGCTACAGTAACCAAAACAGCATGGTACTTGTATCAAAACAGGCATATAGACCAATGGAACAGATCAGAGACCTCAGAAATAATGCCACACATCTGCAGCCATCTGATCTTCGACAAACCTGACAAAAACAAGCAATGGGGAAAGGATCTCCTTTTCCACAAAAGGTGCTGGGAAAACTGGCTAGCCACATGCAGAAAACAGAAACTGGACCCCTTCCTTATACCTTATACAGAAATTACCTCAAGATGGATTGAAAACTTAAATGTAAAACCCCAAACTGTAAAAATTCTAGAAGAAAACCTAGGCAATTCCATTCAGGGCATAGACATGGGCAAAGACTTCATGACAAAAACGCCAAAAGCAATTGCAACAAAAGGCAAAGTTGACAAATGGGATTTAATTAAATTAAAGTGCTTCTGCACAGCAAAAGAAACTATCTTCAGAGTGAACAAGCAATCTACAGAATGGGAAAAAAAATTTTACAATCTACCCATCTGACAAAGGTCTAATATGCAAAATTTACAAGGAACTTAAATTACAAAAAAACCAAACAACTCCATCAAAAAGTGGGCAAAGGGTATGAACAGACACTTCTCAAAAGAAGACATTTACAAGTCCACCAAACATGAAAAAAAAGCTCAACATCTCTGATCATCAGAGAAATGAAAATCAAAACCACAATGAGATACCATCTCATGCCAGTTAGAATGACAATTATTAAAAAGTCAAGAAACAATAGATACTGGCGAGGCTTTGGAGAAATAGGAACACTTTTACGCTGCTGGTGGGAATGTAAATTAAACCATTGTGAAAAACAGTGTGGCGTTTCCTCAGTAATCTGGAACTAGAAATATTATTTAACCCAGTAACCCCATTACTTGAGTATATAACCAAAGGAATATAAATCATTCTTCTGTGAAGACACATGCACACATACATTTATTGCAGCACTCTTTACAATAGCAAACACATGGAACCAACCTAAATGCCCATCAATGATAGACTGGATAAAGAAAATGTGGTACATATACACTATGCAGCCATAAAATTGAATGAGCTCATGTCCTTTGCAGGGACATGGATGAAAGCTGGAAACCATCATCCTCAGCAAACTAACACAGGGACAGAAAAACAAACACCACATGTTTTCACTCATAAGTGGGAGTCGAGCAATGAGAACACATGGACACAGGGGAAAAACACACACCAGGGCCTACTAGGGGTAGGGGTGAGGGGAGGGAACTTAAAGGACAGGCCAGTAGGTGCAGCAAACCACCATGGCTCATGTTTGCCCGTGTGTATACAAATGCACGTTCTGCCTAGTATCCATTTTTTGTTTAAGAAGAAATAAAAAAATTAAATAAAGAACCCTATTCACTGAGAATAGGCCTGTACTTTATACATCTTTGTATTGCTTGAGCCTAACACAATTTCTGGCCATCTCATTATCCCGTGTTTACTTCCACCCACTACCTCATTCTCTTGTTTTTTATAACAAAATTCTTAAGAGTTTTCAGTACATACTATGTGCAGATCCTCTCCTGTTCTCTGTTGGCACAACTTTCATCAGGTTTTGGCCCCTACCATTCTGCCAGGTTCACTTATCAAAACTGACAATTTCTACGTTGCTAAATTCCAAAGTGAATCCTACATCTTCCTGTTATCAGCTGGATATATCATAGTTCATTCTCTTCTGCTTGGAGCCACAGTTGTCAGCTGGCTCCAACAATACCATATTCATTGGACATTTCTCTAGCTTTTCCTTTGTAGTCTCCTTAGCACATTGCTACTTCTTCTCCTTAACCATTAAATGTCGAGTGTCCTCTGGCCTCAGCTACTTTCACTGCAAATTGCTTCCTTGAAGATCTCCTCTAGTCTTATGTCTTCACAAGCCATCTGATGACTCCCAAATTTGTATCTCTGCCCACATACTTTCCATGAAGTCCAGTCTTTTTTCCCTACTGACTACTTTATGTCTATATGGAATATTGAATAGGGATTTAACATGCTTAAATCTAAGCTTCTGATTACCCTGTCCCCAAATCTGCTGCTCTTGCAGTTGCCTTTATCTCAGTAAATATCATCTAGAACTTTCCACTTCTACAATCCAAGAATTTTAGGGTGTTTTTTTTTTTTTTTTTTACTACTGTATGTTGCTCACATCCCACATTCAATCCACTAGCAAATAATTTAGGCTCTATCTTCAAAGTATATCCAGAATCCAATTACATGTTGTCATTTTCACTTGCTATCACTTCTCCAAGCCCACTATCAATGCCTTGCCTGGTTTGTTGCCAATAATCTACTTTGTCTTCCTAATTGTCTTTGCTCTTCTCAATCTATTCTCAACACAGTAGCAGCCACTGTCATATTTTTAAAAATCGAAGGCACCTTGTGATACACATCTATTTAAAATCTTCCAATAGTTTTTAATCTTATACACAGTAACCGCCAGAGAAAGTTGTTAAGGACCTACCCAGTAGCCCCCTTCCTTCTATTACTGTTCGAACCTCATTCAGTATAACTAGTTTTAACTTACTCTGCTCTAGCCAGACTGCTGTCTTGTTCTTCAAATATGTCAGCTACTTAAATTTTAAAATGTTACTCTTGATGCTCACCCATCTTTTCCACAGATAAATCCAACAGTTTCTTCTTGCCTACATTAAGTCTTTATTCAAATGCCACATTCTCTATGAGAACCTACTTCGTTACCTTGTATAATATTGCAAGACCCTTCCCAGCTCAGACTGTCTATCCCTCTTCCTTATTTTATTTTTCCTCTATAGACTTTGTCTTTATGCAAGTATGTTTTGTTCATACTTTGACCCTTTCTTACTAGAATGTCAGCTCCATAAGAGCATGACTTGTGTTCTCTTTTGTTTATTGCTATATACCCAGTTTCTAGAACTATGTCTGGCAGATAGTAGCTGCTCAATCTAAAAAATCGTTAACTACTTAAGAAATGAACACAATAGTTGCTAAGTAGACATTGTTCGATTAAATTTGAGGATGCCGCCAAGGAATTAATGATTACTAGAAGATTAATGAATGGTTAGTTCCTCCTGTAATAATTTTAATATGTGAAAGCATAATATAAGCAATGGAGCTTCTGAAAACTGAGCCCTACATTCCAGAATCACCATTCACTATTAGCTTTGGCAATTTATTTATACTCTAAGATTATGTGTCTAATGATATCTAAATGTGTCTAATGATATCTGAATTATATTATTACAACAAAATAGAAATACATATAAAGTACCTGCCCCTGTACCCAGCACATAGTAGGCTACTGTACTAAGTATGGTGGTTATTTTGGACATAAATGAAGCCAATTCAAGAAATAGTAAAAAGCTATAAGTGTAGAAATATAAAATCCAGTCTTTTTTGCAAAATATATGCAAGACAAATTTAAGCTTTTTTTTTTTTAGAACTTCTCACCAAAGCCCAACTCTTCTGAATACTTTTCTATTATGAATTGTTGAATTGTTGGTCTCCATGTTGTCCCAGAGTATGGTCCTGTGTTTGCTCCATCAAGAGCACTGGTGGAGGAGCATTTCCTAAAATTATGACCCAAAATTTCCCTATATTTTCTTCCAAGTTTTTAATATGCACCATGCAAATTTTATGGTGCTTTTCTTGTTCAGAAAATGTCAACTATTTCACAAATCCACTTAGCTGAAAATGACTGTAAACTGCATGCTAATTCAGAGATAAAAAATATGAAAAATAAAATAATAAACATAACTAATTTATGCTCAAAATAGAATATAATTAAGATTTTAAACTTATGTTTTTAAAATATTCATTTCTAATAAACAGGGACTTAGTTTTTTTTTCTATTTCATTGTCTCAAATGTATTTTTTAAAAAAAGTTCCCTTGTGCCTTTGGTGATACTAAACAAAATATGTTTTAACAACACATTTTTAAGGTACCTAGTTTACTTTGAGCCTTATAGAAAGACCTGAATATCTTGCAGTTAATTAACAGCATTGACTGGTATTATTCAACCTACAAGCTCTGTTTAAAATTTATACCATTTCAGGGAAGCCCAAGAGAACAAGTACAATTCTTGATAAAGACAAAAGACAGGTTTGCAAAGATTTTCCTAGCAGAATAAAAAAAGCCAAACACAGAACCAACAATGTGGAGATTCATAGGAAATGGTTACTTCTATGAATTTCTAACCTTTTCCCAATTTGATTTAGAGAATCTGTGAGTCTTAAAGAAGTAGAGAAATGTCCACCAGTGATAGACTGCATTAAGAAAATGTGGCACATATACAGCATGGAATGCTATGCAGCCATAAAAAATGATGAGTTCATTTCCTTTGTAGGGACATGGATGAAATTGGAAATCACCATTCTCAGTAAACTATCGCAAGGACAAAAATACCAAACACCGCATGTTCTCACTCATAGGTGGGAATTGGACAATGAGAACACATGGACACAGGAAGGGGAACATCACACTCTGGGGACTGTCGTGGGGTGGGGGGAGGGGGGATGGATAGCATTAGGAGATATACCTAATGCTAAATGACGAGTTAATGGGTGCAACACACCAGCATGGCACATGTATACATATGTAACAAACCTGCACATTATGCACATGTACCCTAAAACTTAAAGTATAATAATAATAAAATAAAAAATAATAAAAAAACGATTAAAGAAAAAAAAAGAAGTAGACAGGCGATTGCTTGTGGGATAAAGTGTAGGTCCACATTCACCACAATTTTGGAAGCTATGAATAGAGATTAAGAAAATGAGTAACACCTATCAATTTGAGTAAGAAAACTGAGCAATAGAATCTATGCAGCACTGAGATAAAGGACATTTATAATAAGGATATTGAGTGCTCAGAGGCTGCCTTTTCAATACAGGTATGTCTATTGTATTTGTGATGTAGACATTGAAAACAATTCTATAAAGTAAATGTCCTTTTTATTTCCCTTTGCCTTCACTCATTCAATAAATTAAGAAATAATTATTAAATGTCATCTACTCCTAGATGCTGAACATACATAAAAATAATTCATAGAACTTTCAATGCTTTTACTCTTTAAAGTTTTTTATCATCAACCATTCAAAAGCAATATTTAACTCATCAAATCCAAATTATAAAAAATCCCATATATTAAGTTGATCTATGCACCACTTCACAGGTCATTTTCTTTAACCCAGGAAAGAGAAAGTGTTGATGAAGTATATATTTAATTGTAATGTATTTATTGTTTGATTGGGTCGTTTTTTTCTCTTGCTCTCTTTAAGGATATAAATAAGTGCAAGGTATGCCTTAGCCATTTGTAGACCCTAATAGGGTAAACTAATATTAATATTTGTTTAAGAGATATGAGTGATATTCTTTCACTAGAAAGTCCCTTTTTCTGTAAATAGCCGAAGGCATCATTCCATGAGCTGTAAATGCATTCCCTTCAAAAACATATCAGTCCTGAATTGGATAATCCATATTTGGTGCATATTAGAAATGCAATGGGAAAATGAGTACAAGCAGATGCTATTGCCTTGGAGAAGCACACATACAAGTAAACAAATAAAATAATTTCAGCATGTAGATATAAAAGATAAAATATATTTAATTATCTCCAACTAATGCATCCTGCTATGTAAATTATTGCAAATCTATGAAGGCAATGCCATATATTAGTACAGGGGTCATATAGTAGTACAAGGATTAGGAAACATCTCTGTATTTTGCTTAGCTGGGAATGGAATACAGCTTATGATGTGCCCATTATATACTGGAATTAGTCCAGTTAATTTCAATATCTTTGGGAATTTTCACTGACATAAGCCACACAATCCTCAGGTAAATAGCCACAGTTAGGATGATGAAGCCAGTTTATTTCAGTGTAGATTCAGGTACCAAAATAATCTTATCTGCCTTTACCAAATTCTAAAGTTACTACTGATAAATTTGGTTCAAAACATCTAGTAAACTATTTAAACAGGCTATATACTACCAAGAATTATCATCAGTGATCGCTCATCCTAACCTAAAGTTGATGATTAGATTTTAAAAGTGACAACTGTTTCTTCTTATGGAATTTCTCTTTTTATACAAAATTTCTCCCTGGGTCTAAAAACTTTCCACTAACCCATGGAATAGAAAACATTCTTGCAGGGTTGCTTCTAAGCTGTGATTCATGAACAAGGTTATTATCCTCAGTCCAAATAGCTCACACTTCAGTGATTCTAAGAGTGGCTTTGATATGTTCATGTGTGCAGAAATGGATTAGAGACCCAGGCAGGCCCTACAAGGCCTACAAGGCCTTGCTTTGATATCCTTGATATCCATTTCTGCATACATGCTCCCTGGAAGCAAGGGGAATTTTAGTGGCCCTTAAAGAAAGGACATCTGAACCAAGTCATTACTGATGTTGGCTTAAAGCCAAAATGTCCCCAAATAAAGTTGAGTCTGATGGGCATGTTGTGCCACGTGTAAACTGAGAAAGCAAAGGAAACTTGCCCACAATGGGAGGAAATTTGAGTAGGCACCTGGAGAGAAGCAGAGAAGAGAGAGATGCAGAAAGGGGCATAAGTATCTGACTTTCCACTTCTCATGCATTTGCTTGTAGTTCCTTGCTTTTTTGTTGGTACTATAAAACCACTTTATACTAATAATGAGCCTTTCATTTGTTACTTCAGTTAGTTTGATGGGCTTATGTTCAAGCATTTAAAAAACAAAATTAAACAGAATTATTGAGATGGTTAAAATTATTTGCTTTCTCTTTGTAGGTGAGAAAAAGAAGTTTAGTGAATCAACTAATGTATTTAAAATGTTACGGGAAGCAACATAACTTTGCTGTCTCTTTTGTAGGATATAAAGGGATATATTTCATTATTAGCTCCCAAAATCTAGGAATCCTGGAGATGACAATTAAATATTGATGGAAGATGCCATTTATTCAGGAACCACAGAAACACATACATAGTACAAAAAAAAAGTCTCATAAATGAAATATGAAAGCATTTTAAATGCTTAGTTTCTATTTTCTGAATTATATTGTCATGCATTATGATCACAGCATATTTTCATTTGTTTTAAGAAATGAAATAAGAAAATGAGGAAGGGCAACAGAGCAAATTACTTAATTTATTTAATACAGATGAAACATAATAGTGTGATATTCAAAGAGAAGAAAGATGAAATTCTCAGTGTATGCACAACGATGTGTTAGTGGGGATTGGCACTGACTAGAATTCCTGTTTGTCTGTGTATCTACTCAAGGTTGTTATCTCATTCATGTCTGTCATTTCTGAAGCATCCTGATATTTCATAACCAATTGTTTCCATTTTAAAAAATCAACAATTTAAGGTCAAATAGTTTTTCTTGCACTTTACCTTTTTTGGTGGTATTAGTTGCCAAATGATAACCTTGAACACTCTTGACAAATAATCTGTATCGACAATCTGAACACATCTCTTTTGGATACATTAATCTAGGGACCCATACACTAAGCTCCCAACCCTCTTCTCAGGGGTCTTGTTCCCATCAACTGATGAAGGTAGCTTCATGAGACCGGAGGAAAAAAGATTTCACCATAACATCCCCTGCTTGAGAGTTTAGTTTAAGTTTTCAAACAAAAATTTATATATATATATATATATAATATATAAATATATATATAATATGCATATATGTATATATGTGTGTATATATAAATATATATATTCATAAAAACAAAACAAAACCACTAATGTGGCTATTACTTTTCATTCTTTCTCTACATATTTGTCACATCCACTAATTTTGGCAAATAATCACATACTGAATTGTATGTGTAAAATTTACTCCTAAATTAAGTTAGGTCAGGAAGAATTTTTTACTTCATGTCTTTTATTGTTGTTATTATAAACCCTCCATAGGTAATGTCTTTTTTTGTTGTTATTATAAACCCTCCATAGGTAATGATATGTTTAACCATAATAGGTTATGTCAGCGCTGAATGAATAAAGGAGTCCGTGTGTGCTTGCTAATACCATACCTTTTCTTATGCTGCTATGTTTTTTCAAATTCTTTCTTTACTTTTTCCTCGAATTTATTTAATTTTAAGAATAGGAATATAAATACTATATGCCAAATATTATGAATATGTAATGTGTCATATATAATGCTTCCAAAGACTAATTATTTGATAATTTATTGGCGGATTTAAAAATTATGAGTAGGTACATTATCATACTTAAGATGTAATAAGCTAAGTAGATGATAATAAATATGATTGTTTTTAGATATTACTATTAAGGCACTCAGCCCCAAAATTCTTGTGATTTATTCCTTAACTTCTTTCATCCCTATGTGTTAAGTTTATTGAGGTATAGTACACCCAGAATGAAATTTGTAAGTCTTATGTATATCTTTTCATCAATTTTGACATACATACAGATATATATATGTGTGTGTGTGTATATATATATACGTATATTTAACTTGACTCTTACTAAGAATATTTTATCACCCTAGAAGTTCTTTCATACCATTGCCCATTGAATTACTCCCTCAAAGCAAGCAATGATATGATTCCCATCACAATAGATTGATTTCGCCTGTTTTAAAACTTCATAGAAATGAAATGATAAAAGATGTATTCCGTATCGTCTAGCTTTGTTCACTCAGCATAATATTTTTGAGAAAGACCGATGTTAAGTACAACAGTAGTTCATTCATTTTAATGCTGAGTATTATTTCATGGCATGAATATACTATAGTTTATTCATTGTTGTTAATGACCATCTGGGCTGTTTCCAGTTTGCCTGTTATGAGTAAAACTGCTATTAGCATAGGCATGCAAGGCTTTTAGTGCAACATGTTTTCACTCCGTCTAAAAAAAATACATAAAAGTTTCTAGGACACTGAGTAGATGTGTGTTTACATTTTTAATAGCATGCCAAAGAATTTACAAAGAATTTATACATTTTTACACTCTCAAAAACAATGTCTGACAGTTCCAGTTACAGCATGTCCTTGCACCATTTAATGCTGACTGGGTTTTGTTTTAGCAATCCTAGTAGGTATATAGTAGTGTATCATGGTGATTTTAATTCCATCTCCCTAATGGCTAGGATTGCTTATTGGTCATTTACGTACCTTCTCTTGTGAAATGTCTATTAGAGCCTTTTGTCCATATTGTTGGATTGTCTTTATATTATTCAGTTGTAGAAATTCTTTATATATTCCAAATAAAGATATTTTGTCAAATATATGTAATTTAGATATTTTTCTCAGTCTTGACTTGCCTATTTATTTTTTAATGATACCATTTGATATGCCGACATTTTTAATTTTATGAAGTCAGTTTATCATTTTATTCCCTATGGTTAGTGCTTTCAATGTGTGCTTTTAAGAACATTTGCCTCCCCCAAAGTCATGGAGACATTCTTTAATGTTTTCTTCTACAAGCTTTATAGTACTAACATGTGCATTTAGGTCTGTTTTTCATCTCACATTAAATTTTATGTAGGGTATGAAGTAAGAACTGAAGGTCATTTTTTACAAAATACAGATTTCCAGTTGCTCAAGCACTATTCTTTGAAGACTGTTTATTTCCTCCATTAAATTGATTTGATCTCATTATAAAAACTAATTTCATTTGTTATGTGTGAATCTATGTCTGGACACCATTATTTCACTTGATCTATTTTGTCTTACACTATCTTGATTACTGGAAGTTCAGAGTAAGTCTTAGAATCAGATAATTCCTTCAACTTTGTTCTTCATTTCCTTTTTTTTTTTTAACTTTTAAGTTCAGGGGTACATGTGCAGGTTTGTTACATAGGTAACTGTGTGTCATGGGTGTTTGTTGTACAGATTAGTTCATCACCCAGGTATTAAGCTTTATACTTATTAACTAGTTTTCTTGATCTTCTCCTTCCTCAAACCTTCCTCTTATTGGCCCCAGTATGTGTGTTCCCCTCTATGTGTCTACGTGTTCCCATCATTTAGCTCACACTTATAAGTGAGAACATGCAGTATTTGGTTTTCTGTTCCTGCCTTGGTTTGCTAAGGATTATGGTCTCCAGCTCCATCCATATCTTTGCAGAGGACATGATCTCATTCTTCTTCATGGCTGCATAGTGTTCCATGGTGTGTATATACCACATTTTCTTTATCTAATGTGTAATTGATGGTAATTTAGGTTGATTCCATGTCTTTGTGACTAGTCCTGCAATGAACATACGCATGCATGTGTTTTTATAATAGAATTATTTATATTGCTTTGGGTATATACCCAGTAATGGAATTGCTAGGTCAAATGGTATTTCTATCTTTAGGTCTTTGAGAAATCACCACATTGTCTTCCACAACGTTTAAACCAATTTACACTCTACCAACAGTGTTTAAGCACTCCTTTTTCTCCATAACTTCACCAGCATCTGTTATTGTTAGTCTTTTTTTTTTCTTAGATAGTCTTGCTCTTTTACCAGGCTGCGGTGCAGTGACAGTCTTGGCTCACTGCAAACTCCGACTCCATGGTTCAAGCGATTCTCCAGCCTCAGCCTCCTGAGTAGCTGGGTTAACAGGCATGTGCCACCACACCCAGCTAATTTTTTTGTATTTTTAGTAGAGACAGGGTTTCACCACGTTAACCAGGATGGTCTTGATCTCCTGACCTTGTGATCCACTTGCCTGAGCCTCCCAAAGTGCTGAGATTACAGGCATGAGCCATCGCACTTGGCCCTTTTTTTATTTTTTAATAGCCATTTTCGCTTGTGTGAGATGCTGTCTCATTGTGGTTTTGATTTGCATTTCTCTAATAATCAGCGATGTTGAGTTTTTTTCCATGTGATTGTCAGCCATATGTATGTCTTGTTTTGAAAAGTGTCTGTTCATATACTTTGCCCGCTTTTTAAAAGGGGTTGTTTTTCTCTTGTAAATTTGTTTGTTTCCTACAGATGCTGGGTATTAGACTTTTGTTGGATGCATAGTTTGAAAAAATTTCCTCACATTCTGTAGGTTTTCTCTTTCCTCTGTTGATAGTTTCTTTTGCTGTGCAGAAGCTCTTTAGTTTAATTAGATCTCATTTATCAATTTTTGCCTTTTTTGCAATTGCCTCTGCTGTCTTCATTATGAAATCTTTGCCTGTGCCTATGTCCTGAATGGTATTGCCTAGGTTGTATTCCAGAGTTTTTATAGTTGTGGGTTTTACATTTAAGTCTTTAATACATCTTAAGTTAATTTTTGCATATGATATAAGAAAGGGGTCCAGGTTCAGTCTTCTGTATGTGGCTAGTCAGTTATCTCACAGTCATTGATTGAATAGGGAATATTTTCCTCATAGCTTGTTTTTGTAAGGTTTGTTGAAGACCAGGTAGTTGTAGGTGTGCAGCCTTATTCCTGGGTTCTGTATTCTATTTCATTGATCTACGTGCCTGTTTTTTACCAGTGCCATGCTGTTTTGGTTACTGTAGCCCTGTAGTATAGTTCGAAGTCAGGGAGAGTGATGCCTCCAGCTTTGTTCTTTTTGCTTAGGATTCCTTGGTTATTTGGGCTCTTTTTGGGTTCTGTGTGAATTTTAAAATAGTTTTCTCTAGTTATTTGAAGAATGTCATTGGTAGTTTAATAGAAATAACATTGAACCTATAAATCATATGGCTATTTTAATGATATCGGTTTTTCCTACCCAGGAGCATGGAATGTTTTTCCATTTGTTTGTGTCATCTCTGATTTCTTTGTGCAGTGATTTGTAGTTCTCCTTGCAGAGATCTTTCACCTCACTAGTTAGCTGTATTCCTAGGAATCATATTCTTTTTGAGGCAATTGTGAATGGGAGTTCATTTGTGATTTGGCTCTTGACTGTTAGTGATGTATAGGAATGTTAGTGATTTTTGCACTTTGATTGCGTATCCTGAGACTTTGCTAAAATTGTTGTTTATCATCTTCTGAATCTTTTGGGAAGACACTATGGGGTTTTCTAGATATGGAATCATGTTGCCTGCCAACAGGGATGGGTTGAAATCCTCTCTTCCCACTTGGATGCATTTTATTTCTTTCTCTTGCCTGATTGCCATGTCCAAGACGTCAATACTATACTGAAGAGGAATGGTGAGAGAGGAAATACCTGTCTTGTACTAGTTTTCAAGGGGAATGCTTCCAGTTTTTGCCCATCTAATATGATGTTGGGTCTGGGTTTGCCATTGATGACTCATTATTTTTAGATATATTCCTTCAAAGCCTACTTAATTGAGAGTTTTTAACACGAAGGGGTGTTGAATGTTATCAAAAACCTTTCCTGTGTCTATTGAGATAAAAATCATGTTATTTGTCTTTGTTCTGTTTATGTGCTTAATCACATTTATTGATTTGCATATGTTGAACCAACTTTGCATCCCAGGGATAAAGCCTACTTGATTGTGGTGGACAAGATTTTTGATGTGTTGCTGGATTCAGTTTGCCAGTATTTTATTAGGGATTTTTACATACATGTTCAACAAGGATATCGGTCTGCAGTTTTCTTAATTTGTTGTATCTCTGCCAGGTTTTGGTATCAGGACAATGCTGACCTCATAGAATGAGCAAGGGAGGAGTCCTCCTCCTCAATTTTGGAATAGTTTCGTAGGAATGGTACCAGCTTTTCTTTTTACATCTGGTAGAAATCAGCTATGAATGCCTCTGGTCCTGGGCTTTTTTTGGTAGTAGGCTATTTATTACTGCTTCAATTTCAGAGCTCATTATTGGTCTGTTCAGGAATTTAATTTCTTCCTGGTTCAGTCATGGGATGGTGTATATGTCCAGGAATTTATCCATTTTCTAGATTTTCTGGTTTATGTGGGAAGAGGTGTTCATAATATTCTCTGATCATTGGTTGTATTTCTGTGGGGTCAGTGGTAACATCCCCCTTGTTGCTTCTGATTGTGTTTATTAAAATCTTCCCTCTTTTCTTATTAGTCTAGCTAGAGGTCTATATATTTTATTTTTTTTTTTTTCAAAAAATCCCCCACAACTCCTGGATTATTTGCTATTTGAATTTTTGTTTTGTTTTGTTTTGTTTTTGGGCCTCAACCTCCTTCAGTTCAGCTCTGATTTTGGTTATTCTTGTCTTCTGCCAGCTTTAAGATTTGTTTCCTTTTGGTTCTCTAGTTCTCCTAGTTGTGATGTTAGTCTGTTAACTTGAGATCTTTCTAACTTTTTGATGTGGGCACCAAATGTGCTATAAATTTCCCCTTAACACTGTCTTAGCTGTGTTCTGGAGATTCTGGCATGTTGTATCTTTATTCTCATTAGTTTCCAATATCTTGTTAATTTCTGCCTTAATTTCATTGTTTACCCAAAAGTCATTTAGGAGCAGGTTATTCAATTTTCATGTAATTGTATGGTTTTTAGTGAATTTCTTGAGTTCTAATTTGATTGTGTTCTGGTTAAATAAATTGTTATGATTTTAGTTATTTTGCATTTGCTGAGGAGTTTTTACTGCTGATTATGTGATCAATTATAGAGTGTGTCATGTGGTGATAAGAAGAATGTATATTTTGTTGTTTTTGGGTGGAGTGTTCTGTAGATACCTATCAAGTCCATTTAATCCAGTGCTGAGTTTATGTCCTGTATATCTTTGTTAATTTTCTGTCTTGATGATCTGTCTAATACTGTCAGTGGGTTGTTAAAGTAGACCACTGTATTGCGTGGGAGTCTAAGTCTCTTTTTAGGTCTTTAAGAGCTCAATGAACTTCATTACTATCCAATTTTTGAATTCTATTTCTGTCATCTCAGCCATCTTAGCCCAGTTCCAAACGCTTGCTGGAAAGGTGATGTGTTTGTTTGGAAGAAAGAAGGCAGTCTGGCTTGTTGAGTTTTCAGCATTCTTGCACAATTTCTTTCTCACATTTGTGGGCTTATCTACCTTCAATCTTTGAGGGTGCTGACCTTTGGATTGTTGTTTTATCTTTTATCCTATTTGATGGCCTTGAGGGTTTGATTGTGGTATAAGGTGGATTCAACCAACTTGCTGCATTCCTGGGAAATTTTAGGGAGCCAACGCTCAGCTCCCAGCTGCCGTACTGTGTGCTCTAACTCTGGGATACTTGTATTGGGCCCCATCTTTCTTTTCTGGCTCCTTGAGGTTTGGAGTCCACTGCCCTGGGGGAGCCAATGTGTGGCAGCTGCAGCAGAGTGTCCATAGATACAGGAGTACCTGCCTCCCTGCAGGCATTCACTAAACTGGAGGAGACAAAGCAGCTGAGGCACCACCAGAAGGCCCCTTCTGGAGACTGTGTACACGGTTTGTACTGGTAGTGGTGTTGGCTTGGGGTTGGATGCTGGCCAGTGTGAGTCTGGGTGCCTTCTCTATGATCCCAAAGCAGGAGTGATCAATTAGGGTGTGGGAGGATCAGTTGTTCTCTGCACAGTGTTAGTGCAAGGGTGGGGCACAGGCAGGGGCGGGGCTTGCTGGCTCTGTGACCTCCAAGGTTCCATCTGCAATGGCAGTCAGCACAGGGAGTGTGGGCAGACTGCATTATGGATTGCTGGCAGGGCAAGTAAAGCAAAACCCCCCTGTGCAGAAAAGTGCCAGCAAAGTGATGTGGGGAGTTGCTGTGGGTGGAGGGGAAGCAACAGTACGGGGAGGGAGCATCCAGGCTGGTGTGTGGCTCTAGGAGCCGCCTCACTGGAGCTGTCTACCAGTTAGGTATGATCTACCGGCACAGAAGCTGTGGTATGGGGCCCCAGGGTACCTAGGAGTGCCCTGTAAGCCCTGTAAGCACCAATTCTCTAAGCAGCTTTCCCTGCCACTCCAAGTGTCCATGATGGTTGAGAGGTCCCCTACTACCAGGATTCCAGAGGGTTTTGGTGACAGTGGGTTGCTCCTTGCCAGTTTAATTCACCCATTCCCCTGGAGCGGTTGTATTTTCTAAATAAGTCCCAGTGCAGTAGCCCATGCAGGGTTCCCAGCTTTCTCCTCCTTCTGCCCAGCTTCTATGTCTTCCTTCTATCCACTCTAGGTGTCTTCCCTCTGAAGATCTGTTAAAAGCATGTGAGTCATCCCAGTCCCTTGTGGGAGCTATTTGTTCCACTTATCTGCATCTAGTCAGCCATCTTTCCCTTCTGTTCTTCACTTTCAAAGCTGTTTTAGTTCTTAATTTACATAAAATTTTTAGAATGCTTGTCATTTCTACAAAAAAAGTTTGCAAAAAATTTTACTGGAATTATATTAAACTCTTAGATCAATTTGCAAATAATTTACATCTTAATACTGAATCTTCCAATCCCACACATTTTATATCTTTAGATGTATTTGGATTTTTAAATTAAAAAAATCCAGAATGGGCTGGGTGTGATGGCTCATGCCTATAATACCACCACTTTGAGAGACCTTCCAAAAAAAGAGGAAAAACTGAAAGAAAATCAACAGAACACCAGTAACCAAGCATGGAAGAAACAGAGATTTTGAGAAACTTAGAAAACGAAATCCCCCAAATCCATTAATGTTCTTAAATAGAAAATGCATTCATAAAACAAGATCAGAAAGCTATGTTTTTCTTTTCAAGAAATGGTATACAGGCTGAGCACAGTGGCGCATGCCTATAATCCCAACACATTGAGAGGCTGAGGTGGCAGATCACTTGAGCCCAGGAATTCAAGAGCAGTCAGGACAACATGGTGAAACACTGTCTTTACAAAAAATTCAAAAATTCGCCAGGTGTGGTGGCATGCATGTGTAGTCCCAGCTACTTGGGAGGCTGAGGTGGGAGGATTGCTTGAGCATGAGAGGTTGAGGCTGCAGTAAGCTGTGACTGTACTACTGCACTCCAGCCTGAGGGACAGAGCAAGGCCTTGTATCAAATAATAAAATAAATAAATAAATAAATAAATTTATAAGTAAGTAAGTCAGGAAATGAAACAGGAACCACACACAAAATAAAGATTAGAAAACAAAATGGCTTAAATCTGTTCAGTAATACCCAGATAACATTGCAATGATTTCAAAATTTTAACTGAAAGTGATTTCCAATCTATACTTCTATACTCCAACAAACTCTCATTAAAAGGATAAGCCATTGTATTGGGCACCATCTTTGTTTGCTGGCTCCTTGAGATTTGGAGTCTACTGTCCTGGGGGAGCCAATGTGTGACAGCTGCAGCAGGGTGCCCATGGATACAGGGGTGCCTGCCTCCCTGCAGGCATTCACTAAACTGGAGGAGACAAAGCAGCTGAAGTAGCACCAGAAGGCCCCTTCTGGAGACTGTGTGCATAGTTGTACTGCCGGTGGTGTTGGCTTGGGGTGGGTTGCTGGCCAGTGTGAGTCTGGGTGAATTCAGACATTTTCTTATCATCTGAATTCTCAAGAAATGCGTCTCCCATGTACTATTTCTCTGAAAGTCATATAGAGATATGCTCCATAAATATAAGAAAGAGAGAATATGACACCTTAGAAAAGTGGGTTTCAAAATAGCAGAAATTTAAGAAAAATCTCCAGGATAGAAGTAAAATACTACATTACAATGACAACTATGAACTAGGTTAAAAAAAAATGGCAAGCAGCTCAGATTGCAGCAACTCAGAAGATGAAATACATTATCTGATATATTTGGATATTCTTAGTGAATATTTAGGCAGTTTGGGGTTGAATTAGTAATATGTATACAGGAAACTAAGCAAATATAATGAAACTAGTACTAGTTGGAAGGAAGACAGGAAAGAAAAAGTAATCGTGCATACAATATGACTACATTTTGAAGGATGTTGACATAACATGTAAACATCTAATAGTACTCTAACAAAATTACCATGTGAAAACATCAAAAGTGTAGGACAATTAAAGTGACTTAGGAGTTAGATGGAGGTAATGTGGTGGTGGAGTGAGTTAATAATGCTTGAAATAGGCAAAATCTAAAAGTAGCAATTTAAGCATGTCATTTGTAAATATAATGGCAATACTTTGAGTATAAATTAAAAGTTGAGATTGTCTGCCTCCAGAAAGAGGAAAATGGGGAAGGGGAGAACAAGGAGAAGAACATTTTTTTGGTTACAAGTTAAACTACTTAAACTATGTGCATGTATACTTTGGTTTTAAAAAATAATCTGTTAGAATCTTGACCAGAGGCAAAATGAAGATACTAATATGAATCGACTGAATTTTTTTTTCTTCTAAATTAACATCTATATTTTTAAAAGAGTTGGGGAATGAATGGTTTTATTTCAGAAATGCATCAATGTTACTTGCACATTCTCTTAACACCTAGAATTTCTCTGGCCTCATCAGTTCCTAAAATCATTTAGACTGGCTAAGAGCTGTCCTACAATCTCCTAACACACCATGGACTTCAATATCCTTACAGCAATTTTAGTTGCAGACATTTTGTTCTTAATATTATTGTTCATTATAAAGAAACAAACTGGAATTGAGGAAGCCCAATTTTCTCTGTAATTTATTTATATCTGTAGAGGAATTATGTACTTCTCCTAATTCTGTGAATAACCAGCAAAGTATTTGATCATTCAACATTTTTGAAAGCCTTATTGAAAACATTTTTAAGACTCTCCCTCACTTGATGCCCTTTCTTTAATCTTTTACACATATTTTTATCCATTCAATATTCAATCCTTTCAGAAAGTTCTGTGTAGTGGCACTGATAATCATCTTCTTCAATGTTCTCATATGCAATTATACTTTAAAATTTTGGGGTTTTTTTCTGTTATATGTAGGTGTGTGTTTGTACGTGTGATTCAAATTAACCTGGATACATTAAGAATATTTTGTTTCCTCCCTTCTCCTGTTGTATTAGATGCTCTTTGTATTAGTCAGCTCTGGCTATTATAACAAAATGCCATAGACTGTTGGCTTAAGCAACAGACACATATTTCTCACAGTTCTAGAGACTGGGAAGTCCAAGATCGGGGTGGCAGCATGGTCAGGTTCTGATGAGGTTCTTCTTCCTGGTTTGCAAACAACTGTGTTTGTTGTTGTTGTTGTTGTTGTATCCTCACATGGCGGAGACAGAGAGCTCTAATCTCTTTATCTTATGAGTACACGCATCCCCTAATGAGGCCCCAACCTCATGACTTCATCTAAACCTAATCACCTCCCAAAGGCCCCATCTCCAAATACTGTCACCTTGAAAGTTACGGCTGTAATAAATGAATCTGGGGGAGGTGGGGACACAAAGATTCAGTCCTTAATGCTTTTTATTTTATTTCTAGTAATTTTGTCATAATTTGATTTTTGAGAACTTCTAATATTTTGAGCTTCTTTCCTTTAAAATTCAAAGAAATCAGGCACATTCTAAGGCCAGATAGGGCAGAATTGTCACAGATATCAATTTACTTCTAGTAAATCTATCACTAAGATTATAACACCATTAGCCTTGTGGCTCTCAACATGGCTTCACATTAGAAGCACCTAGGGAGGTTTTAAAAATTGTCATTCCCTGCTCTATTTCAGACTAATTGCATCACAGATGCTGGGGGTGGGGATCAGGCATCAGTATAACAGCAATGAGAATCACCTATGAAAACTTTAAAAATTGCTAATACTTAGATTTCATCCTTAGTGATTCTGACTAAATTAGATTTGCATGAAGTATGAGCATCAGACGGAGAGTCAAATGTTAACACATGTTAGAAGAATCAAAGGATGTGATTAAATTAAGCTGGGAAACATCAGAATTGATATTAATAATTTTATCACTTTTGTTTATATGGTTCATATGAAATCAAAGGTAAGAAAAACCTAAGTCTTCAAATGTATCTATTGTATTCAGAACTTAATATTAAAATTACATACAAATGTAATTTCAATCACAGAAGCATGTCTGGGTTTGCAGTCTCCAAATTTACTCACTGAGTAGAAAGAAGAGGACTCACCAGTATTTGTCTTTTTGTCTAACTCTGCATGAGGTCTTCTTGATCCAAGAGCTCATTAATGACACTGACATGGAATTAACCTAGAGATGTAAGGAGGATAATTCATGCTGCCAGAGTATAGGATGTAGAGTCTGTAGCATGAATTCCTAAATAATTGATCATATCTTCTGAACTTAGAGTTGGAGAAATTATTATGACAAATAACTGGATACTCTCTAGGTCTAGGGAGTGAAAGTTTATAAAATAAAATGATAAAAATCACCTCTGGTTTGTTTCCTAAGAGTATTTTTTTTATCTTTAGGCTCTACTCACATTAGAAATTCAACAAAAGTGTTTTAATAATTTACATCAATGAACTGATGTGGGCAAGATTTTTTAAAAATCAGGTTTTAAACGGTATATCTTAATTGGATTATTTCACCCATCCTTACCTGGAACACTTAGAAGAGGAAGTTTGTTTTGAAATGGAGTTTACAGCTATCTTATTTAAGCCCTGTTTCTTTTAAAGAACATTTCTGATGGATGAACAACTGATCTTCATTCTCTTTTATGTGAGAAACTCCTTTCAACCTACTTCCGCTCTATTTTGGGAAGAAATTTTCGAAGGCCATAATATGAAGGTGTGATGATCAATCAGCACTGAACAAAGACTGTTGAGAAGATAGAAATTTTTATGATCAAGTAGAACTGGGTGTAAAAGAAAATAAATGAGATAAGAAAATAACATATCCATAGACATATAAGTAGAAATATGGGTGGTCACAAAATAAATCAGGACTTAACCCAACTTCTTTGTAGAAATCGAAGTAAGGGAGGGTTAGAGAGAAGTTCTGATGAACTGTGAGGTATGAGATATTGCAAGTGAAATAAGTAAGGAAAGAGATTTCAATAAATCCTACAATGGGTCACAAAGTGAATCAGTCATCTTGAGATTTGTTCAGGAGATGACAATAATGAGAGACATTTCTATTACATTTTGTTGCTGATATGTGCTATTTTTTTCAAACTTTTAAAAAACATTTGTTCATAGATATTGAGATATCCTGTAAACAATATAGTGTACAAAATACACTACTGTAAGTCTACATGTCAGTAAATTTTACATATTTATACGCTGATGTAAACATGAACAAGAGCAAGATATATAACACTTCCTGAAAACCATAAAGTTACCTAGCGTTCTTTCACAATCAGTGGTATTCTAGGAAAAGTTAATGGGTGTATTTTAGTTGTGACTTTCTTTTACTATCAATTCGTTGTGCAAGTTCTTGATTTTGTACAAATTTAATGAGGCAGTGAGTACTCTTTGTGCAGCTTCTTAAGCTCAACAAAATGTTGATACATCATCCATGTGGTTGAGTGTAGAGTGCATTACTTTTACTGCTGTTTGGTAATTCATGGTTTGAAAATATCATCATGTATTTATTCATTTTCCTTTTGATAAATATTTGGATTGTTTACCACTTGGGGCTATTGTGAATAGGGTGTTATGAAGATTTTATACAAATCTTCTTATGATCAGATATTTTCATTTAAAATATTCATACCTTTCATTTAAATTGAGAATATAATTAGAAATGGAATTTCTGTTTCAGTTGTTCTGTAATGACAACAACACTTAATGTAGTCAGACTTTTCATATATAGCTATTCTTTTGGGTGTGCAGTGTTATCTCATTGCGAGTTTTTATTCGCATTTTCTTGGCAATATGCATCATTTTCCCATATGCTTATTTGGATATCTACTTTTATAAAATATCTGCTCTAGTCTTATCTTTCATATATATATATGAAATATATATTCATATTTATTGAATTAGATTTCTACAAGTTCGTATCAGACATTATGTATTATGAAGGCCTTTTCTCAGTGTGTGAGTTGTCTTTCACTCCTTTAATTATACATTTGATTTAAAAGTTTTAATCCTATTAAAATCCAATTTATAAATTATTTGATGATTAATGCTTTGTGTCAAATTTAGTACAATTTTTCTACACTAAGTCATGAAGATATGTTTCTATGCTTTCTTCTAGAATACTAGTTGCTTTGCCTTTTGTATTTGGGCCTGTGATCTAAATCAAATTAATTAGATGAGTGTTACAATACACAGGCAAGGTTCATTTTTAAAATTAATGTTTAATTGCCACAACATCGTTTCTTGAAAAATTACTGTGATGTTTTTGTTATAAGTTAAAGGACATTTTATTTCAGAGTCTATTTTTGGACTTCTGTTCTGTTCCAGTATTATTCATATCATTGCACAAACACCCTATCATCCTAATTACTTTAATTCTGTAATGAGCCACAGTTGGATAGTATCTGTGACATTTCCTTTTCTAGAAGTTTATCTTGGATATGGCAGGTCCTTCAATTTTCTATATGACTTTTAAAGTATTTTATGTTTCCACACACACAAAAAAGCTTGCCGGTTTTTTGCTTGGAATTATATTGAATCTATAGGTGAATTTGAAAATAATTTATTTCTTAACAATAATGGATCTTTCTAAATATGAGTAAAGTATATATCATTAATATTATCTTCTGCTTTAGTTTATTTCAATAATGATTTGAAGCGTCCAGCTTGTGGTAATTCACATGTTTTATTAGATTTATATACAGACACAATTATGTTGATGTTTTCATATATGATATTTTTATGTTAACTCCACTTTTGAATAGCTTTTTGGTAATATCTTGAAATACAATTGATTTTTGCATATTGACCTTCATTCAAGTGATTATGTTAAATCCACTAGTTATTTAGAATAGCTTGATATTTGTTAGTTTTGAGTACTCTGTGCATAAAATTATGTCACCTGCAAAAAAAATCTCAGTTTACTCCTTTCTCTTTCTTTGTACTTAACATTTCTTTTTCTTGCCTTATGATATAGGTAACATTACCAGTGTAAGGTAAAAAAGAAGTTATCACAGTAGATATCCTCATATTGAGGAAAGCTTTTAACATTTTAACATTAAGAAAGATGTTAATTTTAGTTTTTCTATATTTTAGATACCCTTTATCAAATTATGTGTGAGTTTTTATAATACATGAGTGCTAAAGTGTTATATTCTTTTTCTGAATCCATCCAAATGAGTATGTAAATATGTACATAAACAGACACATACATATATGTAGTGAATTATACTCTGATTTTCAAATATTAGTCTTACCTTGTGTGTGAAATAAATCTTACTTTGTCAGATGGATTATCCTTTTTTAAAATAACTGAATTCAGTTTTATGCATCTATGTTCACAGTGATATGAGCTTATAATTTGCCTTTCTCTCTCTCTCTCTCTCTCTCTCTCTCTCTCTCTCTTCTCTCTCTCTCTCCCTCTCTCCCTCCTTCCTTTTTTATTTTTTTGAGACAGGGTCTCACTCTGTCACCCAAGCTGGAGTGCAGTGGCGTTATCATGAGTCCATTGCAGCCTCCATCTCCTGAGCTCAAGCAATCCTCTTGCCCCAGCCTCCAGTAGAACTAGGACTACATGCATGCACAATGACACCCTGCTAATTTTTTAAAAACATTTTTGCAGAGACAAGGTCTTACTATGTTGCTGCCCAGACTACTCTCAAACTTCTAGACTCAAGACTTCCTCCTGCCTTAGACTTCCAAAGCGAGCCACCACTGTGCCCAGTCTGCTTTTCTTATAATATTCTTCTCAGGCCTTAGTGTCAGGACTATACTTGCCTCATAAAATAAGTTGAAAAATATTTATTTCTTTTCTGCTTTCTGAAAAATTTGGTGAGGATTGGTTTTATTCTAACATAAATTAAACTGTGTAGTCATCTGTGCCCAAAGTTTTCTTTGAAAGAACATTTTAAATTATTGTTTGAATTTCTTCAATAGATGGATTATTCAATTTTCCACATTTTTTGTACCAGTTTCAGCAGACAAAAGTGTGTTCTGAAGAAATTTGTTCATTTCATCTGGGTTGTTAAACATATTGGCAGTAAGTTATTCATAATATCATCTTATGATTTTAGAGTCTGTAGAATTTTTAGTAGTGTTTGCCTCTGCATTTTTGATATTAGGAATTAATATTCTTGTTATCTCCTTGATCAAATTTACTAGGAGAGTATCACTTTTATTAATGTGATGCTCTCAGTCTTAGAAAAGTACAAACGTTCAGATATCTCACAAATTTTCACCAATCTCTCATTGTTAAGGTATAGGAAGGTACGGATGCAGAATTTTATGATGACAATTTTGGTTTATCCTAAAGTTCCTTTTTATTACAATCATCTCACTTAGAGATATAATATTTAAATTAACTTGCATAGAATTAAACGTCAAGAGTTCTCAAAAATAGCATTAATATTCATTTCTAATTTGAAGTTTGAGAACTACAAAGTCAGCAATACTTCTGCTATGGTGGATACCTATATGCATGAATAAAGCAAGCATAGAATGTAACTAAACTAGCAAACTAAAGCTATTTTGACTCATTTCTATTGTCAGAGCAACTCATTTCTCATTTTTGTGAGGATGGAGAAATGGGCAGTAGGTTGATATTGAAACATGTACTAGCAAGGAAGGAGGCCTCACAGCTTTGAAATGACTCCAGCATATTCATAATCTAATACATTATGTGAATAAGAAAAAAGAAAATAAGAGCCAAATGTGGCCTTAAGACCTGTAAATTATTCATTTGTGTGTTTTTATATCATTTGTTTAGTCACACATTCATTGAACAAATACATTAAATTTCATGAGTAAGATTGGAGAGGGTTAAAAGATAAGGTTTCTTCTGTATGTCACTAATTGGGATAATGAATTTTAAATATTATAACAGTTTGATTTTTATATTTAAATGAATATTTTCAATTTGCAGTTTTGAGGTCTTAAAACCTCAGAAATCGCATTTATTTCTTTGAATTTTGAAAATAACCCCAAAAGATTAGTGTGAGGCAAAGAGAGTTTGTTTTGAGGACACTAATGCATCATACAATTATACTGTACTTTGAATCAATTGCTATAACCATGTATTAAAACATTAAATGTTCTTACATTAATTTTTGAATCAGAAACACACCCTAGTAGCTATTATTATTCTTGATCTTGACCTCTTTATAAAAAAAAAAAACTATCATTTACTTAAGGGAGACTGTTATTTAGCCAGATCTCAATGGAATAAAAAAAAAGTGCACATAAAAACTTCTTACAAAGAATGTTTTATTGGCCAGGTACAGTGGCTCATGCCTGTAATACCAGCACATTGAGAGGCTGAAGTGAGCGCATCACTTGAGGTCAGAAATTCAAGACCAGCCGGCCAACATGGTGAAATCTTGTCTGTACTAAAAAATACAAAAATTAGCTGGGCATGGTGGCACACGCCTGTAATCCCAGCTACTCGAGAGGCTGAGGTGGGAGGCAGAGGTTACAGTGAGCTGAGATCACATCATTGCACTCCAGCCGGGGTGACAGAGCTGGGCAACAGAGCAAGACTTTGTCTCAAAAAAAAAAAAAATGAATGTTTTATTGTTATTTTTTATAATTATGAATTCATGATTTGTAGCTTGCCATACCGTCCATGAATTCTTTAATTCTGAGAGGGAGGGAGGAAGAAAAAAGGGGGGCAGGAAGAGAGAGAGGGGAGAGAGGAAAGAAGGGAAAGAGGAGAATAAGGACAGAAAAGAAAAAGAAAAAGAAAGAGGGAAAAAATAGGGAATTGTCCAGTAAAAATGTGATCAGCTGACTCAATAGTGACAATAATCTGATTGTTTAAAGAAAAATTCAAATAGAAATGTCAATTTCAATTTAATTTAGCATTTTCATGCCCATACGTAGTAAAGGATCTATTACTAAGTGTTGTCAATTGCGCTATAATCCTATAAAGATCAAGTTTAAAATCAGACGAATTAATCAATACTTGGCTCAAATTTTTCTTGAATGAATCAAGTTATCCCCAAGTCTATATTAGTTGAATTTATATTTTGCAGTCAACATTTTCTGCTTACCACAATTTATCAACTCAATCCAATAGAAAACATTGAGCAATCTCTTTCCAAGGAAAAACATTAGATTTTGGTTACTTCTTGTTTTCTTGTGTGGCCTTTGATTTGTTTTTCTTTGTTTTTGCTACTGTTCTTTGAGATTGGTTCCAAATTCATAAAAAACATGTCCTACATGTTTGCATTTTTTCTAAGCCATTTTGAATGCCCAAGACCACTTAAACGCAAACATACATTTTTAGGAAGCATCTTGTAGATGTCTCATTTAAAATATTTTTGTTGTAAGTTTGAATGTTTAAGGAGTGTCCTGTTGATATGGTTTGGCTATGTCTCTACTCAAATCTCATCTTGAATTTTAGCTCCCATAATTCCCACATGGTGTGGGAGGGATCTGGTGGGATGTAATTGAATCATGGTGGCAGGTTTTTCCCCTGCTGTTCTCATGATAGTAAGTCTCATGAGACCTGATGGTTTTATAAAGGTCAGTTCCCCTGCACAGGTTCTCTTGCCTGTTGCCATGTAAAACCTGCCTTTGCTCCTCCTTTTTTTCTGCCATGATTGTGAGGTCTCCATCAGTGAGTCCATTAAACCTATTTTTTTCTTTTTTGTTTGAAACGGAGTCTCGCTCTGTCGCCCAGGCTGGAGTGCAGTGGCGCGATCTCGGCTCACTGCAAGCTCTGCCTTCCGGGTTCACGCCAGTCTTCTGCCTCAGCCTCCCGAGTAGCTGGGACTACAGGCACCACGTCAAGCTAATTTTTTGTATTTTTTTTTTTTAGTAAAGACAAGGTTTCACTGTGTTAGTCAGGATGGTCTCGATCTCTTGGCCTCGTGATCCACCTGCCTTGGCCTCCCAAAGTGCTGGGATTACAGGCGTGAGCCACCGTGCCCAGCCCATTAAACCTATTTTTCTTTATAAATTACCCAGTCTTGGGCATTTCTTCATGGCAGTATAGAAATGAACTAATACACTGCTATATGTCAGTTACAGGTCTTCTCCTAAATAAAGAATATTTGCTCTTAATTTCTCTGTTTTCTTTTGTTGAAAAATAAAGACATAAATACCCTTTCCAGTTTAGTATAAAGTATCAGAAGTTAACAGTTCAGGAATGATTCTGACAAGTATAATAACAACTCAAGAGCTGATGTTAAAGTTGTTAATAAATACATAAACAAATGTATTAAAAGACACATATATGAATTCACAAAAGAATTTTCAGTAATTGGGGAAAATGCAATTATTTGGTAATACAAAGGAAATTCACTGTAAATAGACCAAGGGTAGCAAATGTTAATGTCTTTAAAATACCATTAGAGTCACAGGGAGAATTTGATAAAATGTAGAATCTTGCTACACTCAAAACTGCCTGAATCAAAATCTCTAAGCACAGAATTTGGGAAAGGTACTGATGCAGGATTTTTCTCATCCCCTTCATCTGACTCACAGCAGGGGTGCCCCCCCTACTTGGCCCGCCACACTTGCACTCGGTCCCTTGTGGGAGGGAACACGTGAGCAAGTGAGTAAAGGATCCAGCCAGCAGCTCTGGGCACTGACACAGGAGCAAGCTTCATGCAAGGCCCATGACCAGACCAGGTGCGAGGATGCCTGTGACCCTGAAGCCGCAGAGAGGGTGTTACAGTGCTCCTTTAGTTCCACCATCCCCAGTGTGATGGATGGTGGCATGTTGGCAGCTCAGTTGGCCCCTTGTCTTGTTGCATGGGGCAGCTGTCCTCCACCAGCAAGAGCAAGGACCACTGTGGCAGCCTTTTCTGGGTACCCCTACTTGGTGGGTCCCGAGCTCTTTTCCAGCATCCTAAAAGAATGAGGTCACATGGACAGTTGAATATTGGTGAAGGCAGAGAATTGTATTGAGTGATGAAAATGCCTCTCAGCAGAGAGGGGATCTGGAGAGGGAACAGAAAGGACAGGTTGTCTTCCCCTAAGTCATGTTGTCTCTTGCCTAAAGTCAGGCCATCTCCTCCTCTACTGACTGACTCTGGGGTCTTTATAGACACAGGATGGGGAGTGTGTGCTGATTGGTTGGTGAGTATGCAAAAAAGGTTGAAGCAAAGATATCACTCAAAGGTGGGTAAGACAGTGTAGAAAAGCAATTAGGAAAGGGTAGGTATATTTAAATAGGTGAAAGGTGGGGATCAATCAGAGGAAAGCGCACCAAACAGAAAGACAAGTTCTCATTCTGGTCCAAGGGTTTAACTCATAGCTTGGTTTTGGGGCTTTAAACTAGTCTTCAGCTTGGAGGTGGGGTTTCATTGTGTACCTGATCCTATCTGCCTAGGCATTTGGCTGCCTCCTGTTGCTATCTGTACATTTCAAGAAAGTTTTTCAGGTGATTTTGTACAAAATCCCAGCAAAATTTGAGAACCTATGCTACGGAGGAAAACTTTACAGAAAAATTCTGAGGCATTACGTTGTTTCTGGATTGGGGTAGAAGAAAAAAAGAAATATATGCCATTTACTGTGAGTCTGTTAGGTACAGTCATTGAATGATGAACTTTTTTTTCTTGTGTATTTCTATATAACCCAACAACTTTACCTGACTAGATGTCAAAAATTCAATATTAAAGATGACACCTGAAATTAAATTTTTTGATGTAGATTGCTAATCATAGGAAAGCCCAGAACTGTAATTCATGTTCTGATTATTCTAACACTCAACTCTACCAGACGAAGGTTTTATTCACTAATATTTAAAAGTGAATATTTTAGGAATGTTTCCTCAGTGATTTTTGTATCATGTCCAGGCTGTGATTGAAAATAAAGAAAATTGTCTTCGGCAATTCTGAGCAGCTCAGTCACCAGATGCTATCTAAGACCTTGATCCATTTTCCATGAGCCATTTAGGGAAAAGTATCATTTCTTAATTAAGAAGGTTTTACACTAATACCCCAGAAGGATGGATGTAGGCGACATGCCAACCAACCATATTATCCGTTGCTCTCCTTATAATCCAATAAAACCATGCTATTTAGACCACTGTTACTTTTATGTTTAACTCTTTCTCTCTGTATCCTTCACCACATTTTTGAGTTTGGGTCGTGATTTCCATACAACATTTTGAAAGAGAAAATGAAGCTATCCATTTAACTGAAACCAGTGAAATAAAAGACTTACAACTATCCTTTTATTAAAAAGCGAAAAATAAAAGTTTTTTGCTTTTGGGCCTAATTGGCAGTTCAAGAAATGTTAGGATCTTTTGTTGTGGCCACTATAATAACTACTTTATAAAAACTAGGAGAAACTCAGGCTGTCAGGAGGCTGTCCGAAGGTGTGAGTTAATATCTTACAAATATCACCACTACCACCACCTGAATTTCACAGCATTTTAGGAGACAATCTGAGAAAGGTGGTACTGTAATTCTGTAATTTTGGGTGTTCACCAAACAGCACAGTCCTTCACTGCAGGTTGGACAGCCAGGTTTCTAGGCAAGCCTTGAGCTCTCTTGTGTAATTCTGTATGACTGCATTCTCCAAAGTGGAGAGAGCTGAGCTATGGGCCATCTCTGTCCAAGCCCCACATACTTGTTGTTTTATTCATAGTTTATTGTCAGTCTTCCCATATCTACTGGTCTCCAGTGATCATGAGTTTTTACTTTTTATTTATATTTTCCCTATTTCTTACCAACAAAGAATTGGTGGGAGTTTAAGGGTATCTGGGTTATTGTGAAGGTGAACAAGTCTAATTTTAGACACTCATTCTCTGAAGTTGGCCTTTAAATTCGGTATCTCTCTCTCGCCTTCCTTCCTTCCTTTCTTCTCTGCTTCCTTCTGTCCTTTTATCCTTTCTTTTTTCTTCCTCTCTTTTGCTTCTCTCTTTCTCTTTTGCTCCTTTTTTTCTTTTTTCTTCTTTCTTTCTTTTCTTTCTTTCTTTTTCTATCTTTCTCTTTTTCTCTCTTTCTCTCTCTCCTTCCTTCCTCCCTCCCTCCCTGCATCCCTCATTCCCTCCTTTCTTCTTTCCTTCCATTCCTCATTTCTTCTCTCCCTCTTTCCTTCCCTCCTAGAAGGAAGAACACACAGGGGAAAAATTTAAATTTATATCCCACAAATTAGATGTTTATTTGTTCTCCACTCACAACTTATTGACTAGGTAACAACTCATTAATATATTTGGTTTGTTTGCAATTTGCACTAGTGGCAATTTTTTTGTTTGTCTCTATAATCTAAGAGAACATTTCCTCCAAAACCCAAAAACTCTGATTTTTTAAATGCCAATTTGCATCAACTGATACCAGAATGTGCTATTTTTCTCTCCTTTGAGGAAAAGATAATCCAGTTAGTTTTGATGACTTAAGGATATCTCTCTCCTCTTACTGTCTTTCTTATGCACATAATGGAATCTCCAGAAAGAACTGTTACTACATGCTGAGGATGTGAAATGGGTTAATTACTCCATTGAACATCATTCTAAATTCCAAAGTTAGCCACCACTCTGCTCACTGTGGCTAAACAAATAATCTGAAATATGGGCAAATATCTCTATGTAAGGATGTTCATTGCAGTAATTCTTATAATGATTTTCAATAATAAATAAATACATAGCAGAAGTAATGTTTAAGTAAATAATGGTATGTCCATTATGGTGTGTTTTGCATTTCAAAAATGTTTTTGAAAACTGTTTTTTAAGCCTGTTTTTAATGATATTGGCAAAAATTACATGGTTGGTTAAAAAAAATACACAAGCTATAAATGGGAGAAATAAGTAAAACCAATGGATCCAAAATATATATACTTCATTTTGATGCATATGAAGTATATATTTAGGTATAGATCAAACATATATATTTGATGTATAATGCTAGTCATTGGATTTCACTGGCATTGTCAGTCATTTGTGGGCAAGCTAGGCAACTTCTCACTCAGGGCATTGACCTTTGGAATTATTTTCCCCCAAATATTAGCTTCACTTACCTCCTTCTGGCCTTTGCCTAAATATTATCACCACAATGAGTCTTTCTATGATTATTCTTTTAAAAATTCACATCTTAGCACTTTTCTCTCTCTTGTAGCTGCTTCCTTCTTATTAGCGGCCATAGCATAGATTCACTAATTTTTTTTTTGTATTATCAAAAATTTCTATTTGCTGTTTCCCACAAGAATGTATCTTTCATGAGGACAACGATGAAGGTCTACTTTGTTTTCTACTCTATACCCTGCTGCACATTGTTGCCTGGCCTTTTGTAGACAGTTAATAAAGGGTTTTTGAATAAATTGACAAACAAATGTAGGTGATTTTTGTTTTTACACTTTGCTTTTTGCTTCTTAAAATGTATGTGTTAAATTATCTTCCAAGTTTCGTTCTACTATTACATTTAGAAAAAACAAAGTTGTAAAAAAAAATCATTTGATTGAGATGGCTTCCATTGTGTGGTACGGTCTTACTCTTCTTTTGTCTCCAGTCACTAAACAATAAGTTAATGATAAGAATTTCACTGAAGTATACAAAGAGGTACTCTATTTTTTTCTAATGCTCTAAACAAAACAAACAAAACAAAAATAAAATACAGAAAGGAAAGTTTTTGCCCCCAGGCATGGTAGCTCACGCCTGTAATCCCAGCACTTTGGGAGGCCAAAGCAGGTGGTTCACTTGAGGTCAGGAGTTTGAGACCAGCATGGCCAACATGGTGAAACCCAATCTCTACTAAAAATACAAAAATTAGCCAGGTGTGGTGGTGGGTGCCTGTAATGCCAGCTACTTGGGAGTCTGAGGCAGGAAAACCGATTGAACCTGGGAGGCAGAGGTTGCAATGAGCTGAGATCATGCCACTGCACTCCAGCCTGGGCTACAGAATGAGATTCAGACTCAGAAAAAAAAAGAATTGTTGCCCCAAAATGGACATATTCACAAATCTTAAGAGAAAGTCTTGCTATATATATATTTTTTATATATATATAATGTTTATAATATATATTATATATAATATATAAATATATATAATATATGTATTATATGTATATATATTATATATGTATTATATATGTATTATATATTATTATATATAACATATATTTATATATGTTGTGTATCACGTATATTTATATATGTTGTGTATCACGTATATTTATATATGTTGTGTATCACGTATATTTATATATGTTGTGTATCACGTATATTTTTATGTTATATATCACGTATATTTTTATATGTTATGTATCACGTATATTTTTATGTTATGTATCACGTATATTTATATGTTATGTATCACGTATATTTATGTGTTATGTATCACGTATATTTATGTTATGTATCACGTATATTTATATGTTATGTATCACATATATTTATGTTATGTATCACATATATATGTTAAGTATCACATATATATGTTATGTATCACATATGTATGTTTTGTATCACATATATGTTATGTATCACATGTGCGTATGTGATGTATCACATATGCGTATGTGATGTATCACATATATTTGTGTATGTGATGTATCACATATATTTGTGTATGTGATGTATCACATATATTTGTGTATGTGATGTATCACATATATTTGTGTATGTGATGTATCACATATATTTGTGTATGTGATGTATCACATATATTTGTGTATGTGATGTATCACATATATTTGTGTATGTGATGTATCACATATATTTGTGTATGTGATGTATCACATATATTTGTGTATGTGATGTATCACATATATTTGTGTATGTGATGTATCACATATATTTGTGTATGTTATGTATAATACATATATTTATGTATGTTATGTATAATACATATATTATAAGGAAGTCATCCAGATTAAGGATAATTAGATTAATTGTGTACTAAATATTTGTTTTTCTATGGCTGGAAACTTTAAGGATGCTAGAAAATTTCGTAAGTTCAGCATATAAACTCTATAAGCCTATGACTTACAAAAATATATGAAACTGAAAAGAGAGACTTTGGTCTCTTTTCAGAGACCAAAGGGTTTTCAGAGGGTTTTCTTTGAAGAAAACCCTAACAATTAGAAATGAATTTTTAATTAAATGCCTACAAAAGATATAAATTATCAATGGCCAACCTCTTGCTCATGTACCTAGTCACATTCTTGACATTGTTACTTTTTATTAATATCCAAGTAAAATAAAGACATAAGCAAATGTAGTCAGGATTTTATTTTATGGAAGATTATTCAATATGATCTCTCAAATTACAGTAAGTCAGCAGTCACACTCCACATACATATCGTACCATCCTGTCTTACTAGGACGTTGAAAATGTATTTGTTTTTGTTTTGGTTAACAGTAAAAATGATCAAATGTTGCTTGGGACTTATACAAGGAAAATCCCAAGTAAAAACCTTTCAAAATAGAAAATGTATATTAACGTATAGTGGTAAGAAGAGAAAGTTGATTACAACGGGGCATGGAGAAAATTTGGAGGTGATTAAAATATTATGTGTCTTGATTGTTGTGTGAGTACAGTGTACATATTTGTCAAAACTTGATAAGCATACACTTAAAATGGGTGCAGTTCATTTTATATAAATTATACCACAATGATGTTGATAAAATAGAAGAGAACATTAGAAAAATAAGTCAGTTCAGGAAGAAATCACAATTTCCTTTAAACTTTCCAGTCCACAGGTGAGTTTTCTGTTCAAAAGACATCAGTGTCTTCAGCCTCACCACACCCTCTGCAATTGTCCCCAAGCCCAGTGTGCACAACTCCATCTCTTATTTTACACCTACACAAACTCTCTATTTAAGAGCGCCATCTCCATAACGTGACTTGCTCATTTCTGACTTTTTCTTATAACATTCTTTGTACCTAATATCCATCCTCTCTATTTATCCTGAAGTACCTATTCATAAACTTCCCATCTGAAACCTTTCTTTTCCCATGAAATCTCCTTGGCCTCTTAAAGAAGAGTCTTACTTAAATCTTTAACCTTAAGATGTTATTACCACCACTCTTCTATATTTATCTCTTTGGCTATTAATGCATGCCTCATTATTCCAACTGGATTTTAACCTCCCTAGTATCAGGTATGTCATTTTATAGCTATCAAATTCTCCACCATATTTTGCATATGATAGGTTCTCTCTCAATATCTGTTGATTTATAACCTACATGCTATACACAGCTTTGCATTATATGGAGATAAAAGATGTCAAAGAGCCAAAGACATATTGTTTCTACTTTTAGAGATGGGGAAGGTGGATAACTATAATTAGGAACAAAAGAGAAACATAATGAATCAGTTTGATGGCAAATAATAACACAAGAAAGTAGTCTTTCCTTTTCTCATATAGTTCAATGGAACATTGTGGATGAAGAATGATGGAGGATGAGATAGAATATTGTAATTACAGTTACCTTCAATTCCATCATATTAATTTAGAAACCCTGGTGAGTATGCTCCACAGGAGACAGAAAATGATAAATGTGGCAAATTACTGCTTCCTTTAGCAATGTGGGGGTATATCTTGAACTGATTCTTATCAATGGTCAAAGCAGGACCAGCAAATTAGTGTCATCAAAGTGAAGCCTTTCCAATTTAATTATATCGAGTGGAATCATGAAATCGAAGCCATTTATTTACAAAACACAATTTATAACTTTCAAGAAATAGGCCAGAAAACTAATTCAAGAAAACAAGTGAGTTATGCATATTAGAGAATGGAAACCATAAGAAAAAAAATGGATGCAGAGGATGCACATTATTTATCATGATCTTTATTCTCTCTTCTATCTATCTATCTATCTATCTATCTATCTATCTATCTATCTATCTATTTGTCGTTGACAGCATGGGTTTGAATTGTATGGACCCACTTATAAGTGGATTTTTCCCAACCAAATGGGGATCAAAACAGAGCATTCATGGGATACAAAACCTGCAAATATGTAGGGCCGACTTTTTATATGCGGGTTCTGCAGGGCAGACTGAGGGACTTGGGTATCCACAGATTTTGGTATCTGCAGGGGTCCTGAAACCAATCTTCCACATATACCAAGGAACAACTATTTATCTATAAATATATATATTATATATATATAATAAAGCTGATAAAACTTGAATTATTTTTCTGGCCAATTTCTTGAAAGTTACAAATTGTGTTTTGTAAGTAACAGGCTTCGAATTCATGATTCATAACATGATTTATAACAATAAAACCTACTAAAACTCAGTAAACATGAGGTGCAAATGAAAGTCCATGTGAAGACAGGATGATTATATATATATATGAAGAATATATATATATGAAGAATATATATATGAAGAATATATATATGAAGAATATATATATGAAGAATATATACATAGGAAGAATATATATATAATATGTGTATGTGTGTGTGTGCATGCACGAATAATTTGGGAGCAAATTTAAACCATATAATTTAATGAATATTTGCTGAATACCTATAGTTTGCCATGTATTGTATGAGGTCCTGTGCTTAAAGTTATGAATAAGACATTGCTGCTTCCCTCAAGAAAAGTTACAGTGTAATTCAAAAGAATAAATGGGAAATTTTAACAGAGGGTGGAAAATCTAATGGTGCAAGTAAGCGCAGTGATATGGGAGCACACAGAGCAGTCTGGAATAGAAGTGGGGTATCAGGGAGGTCACCCTCCACGTGGGTAACGTATGAATTGTGTCTCTCATAGAAAACAGAGTGAGGGATGATGGGAAACCCCTTTAATTATATCGGGTGGAATCATGAAATCGAAGCCAGTTATTTACAAAACACAATTTATAACTTTCAAGGAATTGGCCAGAAAAATAATCCAAGGAAACAAGTGAGTTGTACACATTGGAGAATGGAAACCCTAAGAAAAAAACGGATGCAGAGGATGTACATTACTTATCATGATTTTTATGCTCTCTCTCTTTCTCTCTTCTATCTATCTATCTATCTATCTATCTATCTATCTATCTATCTATCTATCTATCATTGACAGCATGGATTTGAACTGCATGAATCCACTTATATGTGGATTTTTCCACACCCTTTTACCCAGACGGAAAAGTGTGGCAGAATGGGCTCACATGATATACTTATTTAACCCTCTTATATGTAAACCTCTTTTGATTTCCTGATAAAAACAGCTAAACTAGTTTAAGCTTGGTGCAATTGCAATTCCTGCTTATTTTCTTTTAGTTCAATGACAAGCACTTGTATGAAAAAGTCACTCCAATTCAAATGCAACAATACTGTGATGGCAAAATCAGGCAATTTTCTAGGTGGATCAGATAGCAGATTCCTTCATAAGCAGCTAACTCCAACAATCTATTTCATCAGCTTCTAGTTACATGTATACTATCTTTTCATTAAAAATGGATTTTGAGAGAATGAGTTCAGAAGTTCCAATTCAAGATGGCAACGTGAAGAGATCCATGGATATCCTCCCTGATAAAACTAATGAAAACCATTTTCAAAACCAAACATTTGTTTAAAGTCTATGGAAACAATTCTATGAGAATATAGTGAATGAAGGAACATTTATTCTTCAAGAAAGCTTACTTCAAGAATAACCTTTAAGGATAACTATAAAAGCTACTAAAATTCAGTAGAAATCAGGTGCAAAGGAAAGCCCATGTGAAGACATAGGAATAATATGGCCACCTACAAGCAAAGCAGAAAAGATTGAGAACACAGGACTCCCTTTTCCCCAGATCCCAGTCAGAGGGAAATCATATCTTTATAAAATGGGGATGTCAGCATTTCTCATCCTTTCCCCAGCTGCCAGTTGCAGAGGCTAACTTCTTAGCAATTACAACCAAGAGAGGGGTTTTTTTCTCTGCTCAGGCGCCGCTGATAAAATGGAAGCTCTATTTTAGGTGCAACACATTGAGAATATTGGGGTTCTCATCCCCGTGCTGTAGACTGTTTGTAAAGCTGAGATTCCTTGTTAGGAGAAGCAGTCTAAGAAGTCTGTGAAGCAGTCTAAGTTTAGTTTATGAAGACTAGACTACAGTTGCCTTCCATTCTGCTGAGTACCAGCTCAATACATTACATTGAATAGGAGAAAATATTTGCAAATTATATATCTGATAAGGAACCTGTATCTAAAATACAAAAATAATTCTTACAAATCAACATGATCCCATTTAAAAATAGGCAAATTAACTGAATAGGCGTTTCTCTATAGAAGATATGCAAATAGCCAATATGCAAATAGCCAATAGTCAAGCATATGAAAAGATGCTTGACATACTTAATCATCCGGGAAATATAAATCAAAACAGCAGTGAAGTACCACTCAACACCTACTACTGAAATTAGTAAGGTAACAAGTTTTGTCAAGGATGTGAAAAAATCAGAATCCTCACACCGTTTTTGAGGGAATATAAAATGGTAGAGCCACTTGTTCTTATAAATTCCTCTGAAAGGTAAGCACAGAATTACCATTTGACCGAGTGATTATAAGCCTGCCTATATACCTCAGAAAACTGAAAAAAGTATATTTACCAAAAAAAAAACTCATACATGAATGTTCACAGGAGCATTGTTAATAATATCCAAAAAGTTGAAACAATCCAAATAGCTATTATGTGAGTAATAGTTAAATACAATCTGATACATCCATACAGTGGATACAGTGTAAATACTATCACTCAACTAAAAGGAATGAGATGCTGATACATGTTGCATCATGGATGAAACTTGAAAACATTATGCTAAGTGACAGAAACCATTCTACGTAAGACCATGTGTTACATGATTCCATTTATGTGAAATTTCCACCATAGTCAAATATATAAAGACAGAAAGTGCATTAACGATTGCCTAGGAATTGGGAGAATGAGGAAATTTGGGGTAGTAGCTGAAAGGTATGGATATTTTTCTGAGATAATGAAATGTTCTTAAATTAATTGTGAATATACTAGACATGATTGAATTGTTCACTTTATGAGATAACGTTTATGGTGTGTGAGTTATATCTCAGTAGAGTTGTTACCAAAAAAAAAGAAGAAAAAATCAGTTCAGGGAAAGTTTCTTACAAGCTTCCTAGGATAATAAAGAAATATGGCTACATATTTTCTTCAAACAAAAGTATACAGAAAACAGCAGAACATCAAAAGTGACCTTGGGGAAACTCTTCCACAGAATAGCAAAATTAATGCATAGCCCACATACCTTACTTCTCTTTTTTACTTTTTATTATACTTTAAGTTTTAGGGTACATGTGCACATTGTGCAGGTTAGTTACATATGTATACATGTGCCATGTTTGTGTGCTCTGCCCAGTAACTCTTCATTTACATTAGGTATATCTCCAAATGCTATCCCTCCCCCCTCCCCCCACCCCACAACAGGCCCTGGTGTGTGATGTTCCCTTTCCTGTGTTCATGTGTTCTCATTGTTCAATTCACACCTATGAGTGAGAACATGCTGTGTTTGGTTTTTTGTCCTTGCGATAGTTTGCTGAGAATGATGGTTTCCAGCTTCATCCATGTCCCTACAAAGGACATAAACTCATCATTTTTTATGGCTGCATAATATTCCATGGTGTATATGTGCAATGGGGTTTCTGGAGTTTTGTGGGTTACTATGGAATAATATGTAACTTTTTAATCTTAGTTTTCTTCATGACTTATCCCCTAGATTAGTACCACCCACCTGTAGTTTTTCAATAAATAGCGGTTACATTTTTTAACATGGATTCAATTTTATACTTTGGGGTTGTATTTGGCAAACTAATCTTAAAATGTCACGTTTTAATGTAACACTACTGTGCATGCATGATCAGCATGGATCTGAAGTTATATGTGACTCATGATATGAATTTGACAGCACCCAGGCTTATCCCATTCAGTGAGACAAGCCATTGCACTTGGCTTTAGAATAATGACGAAGTGCTAATAAGGTTACTATATGCTTATCTTCAGCTATGTGTCAGACCTCTGAGCCTGTGTTTTTCATTTATTAACATTCAGGTAGCCCATGGGCTATCACTCCAGGATGCTGTCCTCTGTTCCATGACATTTCTACTGCACCTGCAGTGGTTTCTGTGAGAATCTACAGACTTCTAGAATGGCACATATGCCCTTTTTACACTGTTAGTTTTCACCCATCAAATATTTATATTCTATAATGCACTATAAACCATCTTTTGTGCTTGGACTACATAATAAACAAAATAGATCCCTGTCATCTTGAATCTTGTGTATATATATTTATAATCATATATATCATATATTTATATATAATCATATATCATATATTTATATATAATCATATATAATCAATTATATATAATCATATAATCATATATATATATTTATATATAATCATATAATCATATATTTATATATATGATTATATATAATCATATATTTATATATAATATATATAATCATATATAATATATCATATATATAATCATATATAATATGTCATATTATATATGATCATATATAATATAAAATATATTACATATTTATATGCATATATTATATATATAATTATATATTATTTATTATATATGTATATATTATATATAATATATGTATATTATATAATATATATTATATAACATAATATATAACATAATGTATTATATATAATATATAATATATGTATATATTATATACATATATTATATGTATATAATATATAATATGTATATAATATATACATGTATATATAAGTATATAATATATGATATGTATATAATATTATAATCTATAATATATTATATATTATATATGCATGCACATATATACATATGTATATATAATATGTACATATATACATATGTATATATAATATGTACATATATACATATGTATATATAATAGGTACATATATACATATGTATATATAATAGGTACATATATACATATATAATATGTACATATATACATATGTATATATAATATACATATATTATATATACATGTGCATATATATTATATATATACATATATACATTATGTACATATGTACATATATAATATATTATATATGTATATATTATATATAATATATAATATATTATATATAATATATATATTATATATAATATATATATTATATATAATATATATATTATATATAATATATATATTATATATACATATATGTATAATATATACATATATGTATATATTTATATATACATGTATACATATATGTATATATACGTATATATAATGTATACATATACGTATATACACATGTATACGTATATGTGTATATACGTATATACACATGTATACGTATATACGTATATACGTATATATCTATATATACGTATATACGTATATATCTATATATACGTATATACGTATATACGTATATATCTATATATACGTATATACGTATATACGTATATATTTTTATATACATATATGTATATATATTTATATATACATATATATTTATATATACACGTGTATATATATTTATATATTTATATATACATATTAGTATATATATTTATATGTATGTATGTATATATACATATATGTATATATTTATATCACAATAACAGAAAGAAAGACAAAACCACATGATTATCTCAATAGATGAAGAAAAGACATAACAAAATCCAACCACTTTTTATGATAAAACACCACAAAGCAAGTATAGAAAAACTTAACACAATAAAGGACACAAATGAAAAGACAACAGCCACCATCATAATCAAGGGAAAGTATTACAAGTTTTTTCTCTAAGATTCTCTATAAGGCAAGAATTCCCACTCTTACCACTTCTATTCAACATGGTACTGGAAGTTCTAGCCAGATAAATTAGAAAAAAATAAAATAAAAGCATATATACCAGAAAGGAAAATCTAAAATTAACTCTGTTTGCAGATGACATGACTCAAGACGTGGAAGAGTTGCATACTGAAAATTATAAAAGATTAATGAGGAAAGTCAAGTAATACAGGTAAATGGAAAGACATCCCATGTTCATGGATTTGAAGAATTCATATTGTACTATGTCTACCTATCCAAAATGATCTACAGATTGAATGCAATCTCTATCAAAATTCCAGTGGCGGCCAGGTGCGATGGCTCATACCTGTAATTCCAGCACTTTGGGAGGCCAAGGCGGGCGGATTACAAGGTCAGGAGATCAAGACCACGGTGAAACCCCGTTTCTACTAAAAATTCAAAAAATTAGCAGTGCGCGGTGGCAGGCACCTGTAGTCCCAGCTACTCTGGAGGCTGAGGCAGGAGAATGGCGTAAACCTGGGAGGCAGAGTGTGCAGTGAGCTGAGATCGCGCCACTGTACTCCAGCCTGGGTGACAGAGCGAGACTCTGTCTCAAAAAAAAAAAAAACAATTCCAATGGCATTCTTTACAGAACTAGGAAAAATTAAAACCTAAAATTAATATAGAAGTATAAGACACCCCAGATGGCCACAACCATCTTGAGCAAGAAGACCCATTCTGGATGCATCACATTTCCTAATTTGAAAATATATTACAAAGCTACAGTAATCAAAATAGTTTGGTACTGGCATAAAAGACAGCCACAGAGTAAAATAAAAGAGAATAGATGGCCCAGGAGTAAATTTATTCATTTACAGTCAACTAATCTTCGACAAGGTTACCAATAACTCACAATGGGATATCCACAGGCAAAATAATAAAATTAAACCCTTATATCACACCATATAAAAATAAAATTAAAGTCAATTAAGACATAGATGTAAGACCTATAAATGTAAACCTATTATTACTTGAAGAAAAGATAGGAAAAAGCTTTTTGACTTGGTCTGGGTAATGCATGTTTTGGGTATGACACCAAAAGTGCAAGCAAAAAAGTTAAAATGCACACATGGAATTACATCTAACAAAAAGCTTATGCACAAAAGATAACTACCAACAGAATAAAAAGAAAGCATATGGAGTGGGAGAAAATATTTGCAAACTTTACACCTGATAAGGGATTAATATTCCAATTGTATGAGAAATTTATGCAACTCAATAGCAAAAACCAAAAAATCCAATTAGAAATTGGCAAAGGATCTGAATAAACATATCTCTAAAGAAGACATGCAAATGGCCAACAGGTATATGAAAAGATGTTTAATAATATCATTAATCACCATGGAAATACAAATAAAAACCACAATGTGATATCACCTCATAGCTGTTAGAATGACTGTTATAAAACAGATGAAAGATAAAATATAGGCAAAATATTTGGAGAAAAGTGAATCCTTGTGCACCGTTGGGAATGAAAATTGGTATGGGTATTGCAGAAAACAGTATGGAAGTTCCTCAAAAAATTAAAAACAAATATATCTTAAAATGCAGCCACTTCTGGGCTTATATTCATAAGAATCAAAATCAGGATCTGAAAGATATTTCTATTCTCCCACATTTATTGCAGCATTATTCACTATAACCAAGATATGGAAACAACTTAAATGTCCATATCCAAAATATGGGTTAAAAAATTGGCATATATATTTATGTATGGGGCAAAGTTTTATGTATATATAATTGAATAACATATATGTCATTCTTTTTCATATATATGCCATTTTTAAATATATATATAACAAAATGTTATATACATACTATTTTTCTTTCTTATATATTTCCTTTTTTATCCATTTTTTCTTTATTCATACTACTTTTTCCTTATTCATTGATTTATTCATTATTATACATAGTGGCTGAATATTATTTAGTCATAAAAAAAGAAGGAAATCTGGTCCTTGATGACACATGGATGAACCTGCAGGGCATTAGGCTATATGAAATAAGCCAGACACAAAAGACCAATATTGCATGATCTCACTTATATGTGAAATCTAAAATAGTCAAGCTCATAAAAGTAGAGAGTCAAATGGTGTTGTGAGGGTGTGAGGGGAGGGGCAAATGAGAAGATGTTGGTCAAAGTGTACAGAATTGCAGTTATGCAGGATGAGTAAGCTCTTAAAATCTAATGTATAGCAAGCTGGCTATAGTTAATATTGTACAATTGAAATTTGTGGTGATTATTGTAAATAGATACATACATTTAAACATCACATTGTTTACCTTAAATATATACAATTTGTTTCTGCAAATTACACACCAAATAAAGCTGAAAAAAATGACAGGTGAATATACTTTCCCACATTCAAAATGACACTCCAAATTCATGTATGCATTTATTTGCAAAGCGTTTGAAATTTGGTATTCAGAGTCAAATAGGAGATGGATGTTAACAAATTTACTGCCAATCTCAATAGCTAACTTAATAAAGTTTATTTTACATTCATTTTACAAGACAAATATGGAGTAGGGGTTACTCCACACGCACAGTTAGTATAGGACCTATTGTCTGTAGCTAGGCCATTTGGAACACATGGCTCTCAGAACCCAGGGAGAGACAACACAGAGGTAGTATGCCAGCTATTAAATGGTTCTGCTCTCAGCCCAACGCCCAGAACCAATTCCATTTTCCCCTTTCACTAGTAAAAGAAACTGAGACATGAACAGTATTACATGGAATATTCACGTGACAGTATTATCTGTCATTGACTTTTTGGATAAGCCAGAAATTAATGGGAAAAAGTGAATTAACACAATTATAAGACATGCTCCAAGAATGAAATTAATCTCTCAAATTATACTACTTGAGGGGGCTTTACATACAAAGAAAACAGCTACTGAGGTATCAGAGTGACATAACACTTTTTCAGATATGACACAATTTTGCCCCAAAGAGGGCTGACCAATTGCAGTCTGGAATGGAGAATGAGACTCCACTGAGAGAAACCATCTCCTAGATGTAAGAGATGACTGTAACTTAGCCTTCAGGTTAGGATGGGTAGAGCTCAGAGACCATCAGCCTTTCTTTGACCTAGTCCTGCTCTCCCACAGCGTACTTTGAGACCAACCCCATATGCAGGGCCAACTATGATACGATAAGAAAACCAAGAGCTCTTAACAACACTTCATGGGGCTAAACCTTGGCCTTGGCTTCATTAACACTCCGTCCTCATCAACTACTCCAGATAAAAAATTATGCAATTGCATCTTTTTGTTTCATTTTTGCTTACATTTTGGTGTCTGTTCCAAAACAATATATTAAAAATATACTTTAAACATTTTCTCTATGTTCTTGGCAATTGTATATAAGAGATACATAAAAGAACACATTCTGAGAGAAAAAATATTCTTGTAATTGTTTTGTGAATGAACGTTTTTAAATGAATAATCTTCAAGAGTTATTTTGTGTTTGCATATTTGTATTTTGTACTTTCATATGCATACCTGCAAACTGTCCTTTTTGGCAAAAAGAAAAAAATCCTAGATTTTTCTGTTGTCTTTAAGCTTAACACAGCTGTGAATGGCCTAGCATGACAGTGTTTGCAGAGCCATGCCCCTGAGAATTTTTCATTTCATACATCATTTACAGCTGACTCAAGTGATACCATATATTCTGGACCTATATTCTTTCACCACAGAAAACTGAAATGAAAATATATATTTATACATAATCCAGAGCAATCATGCATTGCCTCTTTATTTCTCGCATTTCACCTCACTCCATCAGATTGCTTTCTAACTGGAAAAAAAAGAAGCCTGAGGCTCCCCTAAGATACAAACCAAATTTGAGATTTCAGTACTGCTATTTGTTTTTATGAAGGAATTCATCTCTCTCTTGTATTGTGACTTGCTGTCTCAAAACCCTAGCTGAAAAAGAAAAACAAAATGTTGGGAGAGAAATGGCATCAGGCCATTGCCCAGTTAAACATTTCTCTGCCCACAGTCCAAGATAAGTTCTTTGTCAAGTCAACAGCTTAGAGTCACCTTGACTGAAGGGGCCATACGTTTCCTGTGCCTTGTATGATTGAAGAGGTTTTAGTCCAAAAGTAAATTTGAGGAATGGTATGTCATTTAATGCATGTTAGCAGTGAGCTTTGTGGGCTTTCTCGACTCCCTAGGGCAAACCCTTAACTCTTCTTTGTTTTTTAATTTTATTATTATACTTTAAGTTTTAGGGTACATGTGCACAACGTGCAGGTTTGTTACATATGTATACATGTGCCATGTTGGTGTGCTGCACCCATTAACTTGTCATTTACATTAGGTATATCTCCTAATGCTATCCCTCCCTCCTCCCCCCACCCCACAACAGGCCCCGGTGTGTGATGTTCCCCTTCCTGTGTCCATGTGATCTCATTGTTCAATTCCCTCCTATGAGTGAGAACATTCGGTGTTTGGTTTTTTGTCCTGGCCATAGTTTGCTGAGAATGGTGGTTTCTAGCTTCATCCATGTCCCTACAAAGGACGTGAACTCATCATTTTTTTGGCTGCATAGTATTCCATGGTGTATATGTGCCACATTTTCTTAATCCAGTCTATCATTGTTGGACATTTGGGTTGGTTCCAAGTCTTTGCTATTGTGAATAGTGCCGCAGTAAACATACATGTGCATGTATCTTTATAGCTGCATGATTTATAATCCTTTGGATATATACCCAGTAATGGGATGGCTGGGTCAAATGGTATTTCTAGTTCTAGATGTCTGAGGAATCGCCACACTGACTTCCACAATGGTTGAACTAGTTTACAGTCTCACCAACAGTGTAAAAGTGTTCCTATTTCTCCACATCCTCTCAGCACCTGTTCTTTCCTGACTTTTTAATGATCGCCATTCTAACTGGTGTGAGATGGTATCTCATTGTGGTTTTGATTTGCATTTCTCTGATGGCCAGTGATGATGAGCATTTTTTCATGTGTCTTTTGGCTGCATAAATGTCTTCTTTTGAGAAGTGTCTGTTCATATCCTTCGCCCACTTGTTGATGGGGTTGTTTGTTTTTTTCTTGTAAATTTGTTTGAGTTCATTGTAGATTCTGGGGATCTTAAGTGTATAGTTAAAAGTTTGACTCCTGACATAATACTGATTATTTGGATAAAAAAAGACACTACATTTCTACCGACTGTTCAGAGGTTAGGGAGGCTAATAGAGTATGTTGAAAATGCCAACATTTATGTACCTTTGGACTGTGTTTCTCCACCTTTTTACACTGAGGTCTCCAGATGATCACAGATTTATGCTTTTGACCAGAGATTTGCATACACTCTGAGAGGTATCTGACTCCCCTGCAACATTGACAATCATTGTTTCTCCTGGGAGCTCTCACCAACTGACAACATTTTGTTAAGTTTTACTTTACTATAGTTTATATTGTAATTTTTTCTTTTTTATATTTTCTATATGTAAATGATAACTATTTCTATAACACCATTACCAGGCACTGTTGTATGCCATGAATATTAACTTATTCTATCCTCAGCAACTCTATGAATTACCTGTAGGAACTCCATCTACCAAAGAGGAAACTGAGATTCAAAGACGTTATGTGATTTGCTTAAATTTATGGCTTAGAAACAGCAAAGCCAGGGTTTGAACCTGGAAGTCTATCCTCAGAGTTTGTGCTTTTAAGTATCATACTCTGCTGCTTATAGTAAAATTATACATACTCCCTCTTGATGGATTCTGGTAATTTTTTTTCTAGAATATCCACACCCTTCATAGTTACACACACACACACACACACACACACACACACACACACCATTGATAACATATCTCATAACATCCTAATTCACAAGATTCTTCCTTTTCCATGATACTGGTGTTTTTGTTTTTGTTAATGATCACACTGAAATGCAGTTGTCTATTTTACCTGTATTCCTCAAAAATTGTAAGCTCTTTTAGGTAGAGAGCACATATGTCAGCTTTGTAAATCTCAGTATCTAGCAGAGAGACTTGAATTAAAAGGTCCTGAATCACTATTTATAGAATGAATAAACACTATATTCCAGATTTGACATAATATATATTTCTTACATACATCCACACACTAAGAGCAGAGACCTATATAAATTGAAACAACCTCAAGTGGCCATCAACAAAAATAACAGAGTAAGGACTTTTGAAAACTCTCCCCCTCATAAAAGCAAGGAGAAGACTGGAAAATATTGTCAAAATCAACTCTTTCAAAACTTTGAAAATTAACCAAACTCTTCAGAAGACTTTTTTCAGAGGTAAACAATCAGGGGAGCATTTATTCTAGAAAAATGAACGAAGCTCATTAAGAGCAGTATTCTTTGTGATGTTTTAACTTGCCCTATCCCTTTGATACTCTCCTTCCAGCTCCAAGATAGCCTTGAAGAGCAACATAAACAATCACAGTAAAAACCAGCATCCTAGAAACTGCTGAACTGAGGAGGAGAGAAGGGAATTGGAGTTCTTTCAAAGCCTCATCCGCAGAGAATTGCCATTATGACACCCTCCAAATATTATTACAGAATGCATGGGCATTTTTGAGGCCAAGATTAATTGTCCAAGTTACTGTGGCTGGGACACAGATGGACTGACAGTAAGATCCCCAGGCAGTGACAATACTGCAGCTGGAAGGGGGGAAAACAAGCAGGGAGGAATGAAAGAAAAAAAAAACATTAATCAAACAACAAAACTAGATGAATGCATTTCTCAATTGGAGTTGAAATCTTACTGGAAGATGCATCCTTGAGAGATCCTTGAGAGATGTATCCTTGAGAGAAAGACTGGTAAACATAATAACTTACAGAATGTACCAGAATGTATGATTCAGGAAAGAAGGAAGTGGGTCTCACTAGAGGATTTCTAGCTACTTTTCTTGAAGATTTCATTAGACCCTAAGATTATTTGTCCTGAAAAGTCATTTAAATATCATTGGCCACCATTCCTTATTTGTTAATTGAGAAAGTTGACTTAGAGGACAAAACAAGAGTACCTTTTGCTCTAAAATTTACAAATACTCTGATTTCCACAATATTCTATTATACCATCTACCAAAACTTTCACTTAAAAAAGAGTACAGTGGCAAGGCTAGTGACTACATGGAGTCATTCGAATAAATATTAAGTCCAAAATTGTGAAAAGTCTAAGATGTTACCTACTTGTAAGCTAACAAGTCAGCATGCCACAATTATATATGTATAGAAATAAAATCGTCAGACCTCTGGGTTGGAGCAACGTAGCAGCACTAGCTCCCCAAGATCCAGTTTTCCATGGGGTAACACGATGAGGGGCTGCCGCTACCAATGCACGCCATGAGGCTTAACAGCAGACAGGAGACACACAATTGTGGAAGTCAGAGCTTATATGGTGTGACTGGCAAAAGTGCCCCTCCTCCCCTTGGGGTGGGGGTGTGCTATAGTTTGGATATGGTTTGTTTTTCCCCACCAAATCTCATGTTTAAATTTGGTTCCTAATGCTGGGAGTGGGGCCAAATGGGAAATGTTTGGGTCATGGGGGTGGATTTCTTATGAACAGATTAATACCCTCCTTGGGGGCTGGGCAGGGTCCTTGAGTTCTCACTGTATCCATTCTTGCAAGAACTGGTTGTTAAAAGGAGCCTAGCATCTCCCTTCCCTCTCTCTTTCTTCCTTTCTCACCATGTAGTGCACATCTGGCTCTACTTTGCCTTCCTTCACGAGTGGAGACAGCCTGAGGCCCTCACTAGATGCAGGTGCCCAAACTTGAGCTCTCCAGAATTGTGACACAAATAAACCTTTTTTTTTTTTCTTACAAATTACCCAGGCTCAGGTTTTCCCTTATAGCAACACAAAATAGACTAAGACAGAGAGGAGGAGCAATATGTATTTTTACTATGAAATCCTCTGCAGTGAGAGGGTGAGGTTGTTAGGTGTATTGCACCTGGAATGTAAGCAAATGGTTCCTAGAAGATAAGTGTTTAAATACTCCTAACCTCCAAGGTGTGTGATGACTAATATTAGGTGTTAACTTAACTGGAGTGAGGGATGCCCCGATGCCTGATGAAGCATTGTTTCTGGGTGTGTCTTTGAGGGTGTTCCCAGAAGAGATTGACATGCAAGTCAGTGGACTGGGAGAGGGAGCCTTGCCCTCAATATGAGAGGGCACCATTGAGTCAGCTGTGGGTGCTGCTAGAACAAAGCAGATGGAAGAAAGGGGGCATTCAGCTTGTATGGCTTCCTCTCTCTTCCTTCTGTAGCAGGAGGCCTTTTCTCCTCCTGTCTGTGAACATCAGACTCCAGGTTCTTCAGCCTTTGGGACTCTGATGGAACTTGTACCATTGCCCTCCCAGGGGATCTTAGGCCATCATCAGTTTTCCGGGTTTTAAGGCTTTCTAACTTAGACTGAGCAACAGCACCTCTTTTCCTGGGAGCCATGCTACTAGCTTTTCTTATTCCCCAGGTTGCAGACAGCCTATCGTGGAATTTTGTCTTTGTAATTGTGTTAGCCAATTCTCCCTAATAAATTCCTAAATTTGTGTGTGTGTATACATATACATACAGAAATGTATACATATGTATGTATATGTATATACACACTAATATATATGTATGTATATGTGTACACACACTAATACATATGTATGTATATGTATACACACACACGTTTACATATATCCCATTGGTTCTGTCCCCCTGGAGAATCTTGACTAATATAGCATGTTTATTATTCAAAAGTCCTTTAAGTCAGCTTACTAGTGTTCTTTATCAGAAAGCCGAGGCCTTTCAAAAATGTGAAAATATTTATGGAGAAGGGATGAGAGAGGTTGATTAATGAGTACAAATATACACTTTGATAGAATAAACAAGATCTACTATTTGATAGATCTGTAGGGTGACTATAATTTACAATAATCTATTGTTTATTTTGAAATAGAAGAGAATAATTTTAATGTTTCTAGCATTAAAAATAACAAATATTTAAGGTGATAGATATACCAATTACACTGATTTAATCTTTACAAATCATATGAATGTATTAAATTATCGTATGTAACCCCAAATATGTACATCTATTATGTATCAATTTTTTAAATTATGCATTGATTATTTTCTCAGGGAAATAATACTAATATTCTCTTTAAAATAATAAGGCTGGACAGTATGGCAATACCTGGTCTCTACAAAAACTTTGTTTTGGAAATTAGCCAGGCATGGTGGTATGCACCTATAGTCTCAGCTACTCAGTAGGCTGAGACAGGAAATCACTTAAGCCCAAAAGTTTGAGGTTGCTGTAAGCTGTGATCACGCCACTATACTCCAGCCTTTGCTCTGTTGCCCAGGCTGGTGAAGAGTCATTAAAACATAAGTTATAGAGGTATTACTCTTGTTCCTACATGTATATCAATGAGATACCAAAACTTAATATTTTGCTAGGAAACACACAATAACAAAATAAAACATAATATTAATGGTATACTCAGGAATTCTGGAATGCAAATAACTGCCAATATCTCAGAAACTATTTTTTGTAATATGTTTCTGAAACATTTTGCATGTAAATTTAGCTGATATTTTTCATACCTGGTATAGAATGACACATGCCTGTTTTCTTATGTGTTTTTTTATCTTAATGAGTATCCAGTATAATGTCAAATTATATCTGATCCCTGTTCCTAATTGGGTGTACTTCCCTCTGTTCCCCTGTCCTAGTGGTTCTTCATTGTATTGCAAGTAAAAATATGCAACATATCTTTGGAAAGTCAGCAGGTCTAACCCAGACTCACTGGTATAGATCTTGTGCAGCTGATATTATTGTTAATGATCAGATTGATGTAACTGATGAAGCTGGAGTACTGCTTCTTACCTCTAACTTTAATAATGTGTTTGGAGATATTCTGATCCATCTATTTCACATTCCCAGTGTTCTCTTTCAATGCATGCATTGAAAATGTGCACATCTTCTGTTGATTGACTTAAACTTCTTTTTGGCTGCTGTTGAATAGTGTATGACCTTTTCCAAAGTCTTAGTACCTACCACCTCAGAGCAGATGATAATGATGTCATTGCCATGTCACTGGCACACTACTATCTTTCTGTTTGTCCATTTGGAAATCAGACATCCCTCTCTTCCAGTTTTTTAGTTCTGTGCAGTTTTTGAGAAAGCACTGTTCAGTCTTATTTTCATGAATCATTCATGTTGCCTGGATTCCTTTCCCCTTCAAAGCTGTCAGCTGCTTGATGCTGGTGAAGAGTCATTGAAACATAAGTGACAGAAGTATTAGCCTTGTTCCTAGAGTATTAGCAGTATTCATCCCCAGACTGTCTCCCAACTCAAGCCCCATGTTTATAGAAACTAATGATTTTGCTTGGTAGGATTCAATTCAAGCCAAATAGCCAATCTAAGTTATCAGTCGCCGAATTTTATGCTCAAACTGAAATGGTTTTCTCTCTAGGGATTGATTAAATCTGTGATGCCCAAAATACTCATGGACTTGTCAAAGATGTAGAACTTTTGTTAGGGTGTATATAATTTGAATTTTTAACTTATTTTGGTAGTGAAAGACATCATTACTGTTAATTTTTTTCACTTCATCAATATGGCTATGATCATCAGAAGTTGAAAAAGACTTTTGAACCTGTCTCTTCTCATTGCATTTGTGATTAAGCTATGATGTATATCTGGAAAGTTTTCCAAAAGCATCCTCTTCTTTTAATACAGAACACATTCATTTAAAATAAGAACACCCCAAACTTACTTCAGTTTTTTAAAGTGAGCCCAAGGTCTAGCTTCTTTCGAGATGCATAACGGTTGGTTTCATTCACAATGATGTTAATTGTGTCTTCATCTGGAAATAATACAAATGATCTCTTTATACTTAGATTTTGGCTATGAAGTCTTAAAATTTGAGAGTCTAGTGTGGACCACTTTGAAAAATCTGGTCTGATGTCTCTTTTCATTAATTTCTGCATAGGAACTCTTAACTTCTTTGCCTTCTTCCCGACAGGTTCTATCCCTGGGTCGGAGATGCTGCCACCTGGACTATAATCCTCTGAATCATGCTTCTGGGCAAGTTGTTTTTCTTGCCTGCCTCCTTTCCTCCTCAGTCTTCAACATTGCTATCCTCATGGTGTAGTCTGGGATGGAGGGTGGGAGTGACGTAGGTGGGCTGATTCCATGACTTGGGGCACCTTCTTCCAGTGCAGCAGAATATCTTCCAGTTTCACAAGGCATTCCAGAAGATATGGTAAGACTCTCAGATGATAGGTGCCTGAAATATAGGTTACAAGTTAACAGGAAAAGAGAGGTGAGCCAGAACTGGGCAAAGTAAATATTATGTGTTAACAGATAGGGCCTCGAGAGGGGCTTGTCTTCTGAAAGCTTATCAGATTGTCTGCAAAGCAGCCATTTATCCCCTTGGCTGCTGCTGAGTTGAAGCTCCCTTGAGAGATTCAAAATCATCAAGGCAGGGCAACTCAATACAAATGAATACATGCAAATGGAAGCTGCAAGATGGTGAAAATCTGACTGTACATGAATATAGTGACAGTTTCTACTACATCCACTTTCATCATTAGTTTGGGTGAAACACTGGATCAGGATGGATTGTGACATATGTTTAGCTCAGGAAACACTAGGCTACTTGCCTATTTATTATTTCTCAAAAGACTTCATTCTTCTTAAAAAGCTGGCCTAAAGCCCAACTTGCCCACCCAAGTAAGTATCCACCCATAGAATATAGTGAGCTTACACGGAGTATAAAGTGCAAAATCAGCTCCTTAAGAGTAAAGTTATGGCTGTTGGCCAAAGGAGTCTGCTCTATAAAGAGGATGATCAAATCCAAGGTGTATTCTGTTATTTAGATTTTTTTCTCTCTCTCTTTCTCTTTCACTCTTTTATCTATCTATTGTCTCCCTTAATGAGATATGATTTGCCCTTTTCAGTTCTAAAATTTTTCATTTATATAAAATTGGGCATTGGTCTATTTTTCTAATATCTTGAATTTGAACAGAGAAAAACTAATGAATTGAAATTTCAGGCTATACTCAGTATTAATTCCAGAAGTTATTATATTAGGTATTACATGGTTTGGGCTATTTTTAATAAAAATAACAGAGAAAGATAAAGGCTTTATATTTTGTAATATGTTTGATATTATTTGAAAAAGTTTGCAGTGACTTCTCATATTTTTCCACACTAAATGACAGACCCTAAACAAAAGTAAAAATTTTAAAGAGTATGTTTTACCATCTCACAAAAAAGAGACAGATTGCCCCTCACAGATTTCTTCCTTTTTCCTACAGAAGCAAAATTCCATGCTAAATATACTATCCTTCTTGACTGAAGGAAAAAAATGTCATTGATTATTTTCAAGCACTTACTAGGAAGATCACTGCAAAGAGAAGTGTGGAACACTAACGGATATTAAAAGACATCTTGCCCTGAAAAAGCTAAAGATCCACTGGTAGAGAGAAAGCATATATTCATTAAAAGTAGCAAACAATACAATACACATCACATGAGGAGTGATAATAATCCTGATACAAGCACACAGAAATGAGACACAAAAAGGGGGATGGGGCAAGACCTTAGATCCAGTTTTTCTGTGCCTAAGGAAAGCTTTCAACAATTCTCTGACAGGAGTTATTGGGACAGAAATATTCTACATTGGTTTCAAAAATCCCCAAGAGACCTCTCTCCTCCTTTCTCTTTCATCAGCTCCAATGACACTCCCAAAAATGAATCACATCTCTCCAGATGCTAAAAAAGGTCAATACCAGAGAGTTACAGCAAATGACAGGTTTACCTGGAGGCAGATGCTATGAGAGAGCCAGGGATTACTGGCTGCTGTGGTCCTCCCAGTCCCAGCACCTGCATTAATTATAGTAGTAGGGGTGTGGTCTGAGCAGAGCACCTGACAGCCTCCTGGCAAGCGAACTGTCATCCCGGGAGGATTGAAATTTTCAAATGGAGAAGGAGTGGGAGGAGAATAGCTCAGCTTCCAAATGAAAACAAACAAAAAAAATCAGTGTAGGGTAAACGAAAGGAATGTGCACAAGTGGAAAGTTTCTTCCTTCCATCCTCCCTTTCTTCCTTCCCTTCATTCCTCTCTCTCTTCTTCCTTTCCTCTTTTCCACTCACTCTCTTCTTTCCTTTCTTCCTACCTTCCTCTCTACCTCCCTCCCCTTTTCTCCCTTCCATCCTCCCTAAAGTTAATTTTTAAATCTCTCAACAATCCATAGGTAGAGCGGGGAAAGGCATTTTCCAGGCATTTCATTATTTCAGATACAGCAGTTTCTCTTAGGCCCCAGGGTCCTCCTTCAGCTTCAATCAAGCTGACCAAGAAACAAAGGTAAAGAAAACTGAACACTTTTGAAGGTCAGCAAGGCCTACTAGCAAGGCACTAAGACATCAGCGGTTGTTTAAACACATTTCTGAAAGCTAGGAGCTCCTTTCCTCACATGAGGCCACAAAGATCTTTGAATTCCATGGGAAAAGAAACCCTTATTTCAAAAATAAACTTTGAAGTTGTTTGAAGATGAAAGAGGAGACTTGCCTCTGAGCCAGCACCGAAGCAGTGGGGAGGGACTTCCAGTACCTTCAGAAAACCTTATTAGAAAACTTTATTAGAATATGCTTCAGAAAACCTTATTAGAATTTAAAAGGACTGTGCAAACAGATGCCCTATGGCTCTGTCCCACTGAAAGTATGTGACAGGGTTTTAAGAGCATTAACTACAACTAAGTCTGAAGCTGACGACTATCAAAGTTTTATTATTTGATTATACAAAATGATTTCTCACTCAACAGAGAAGATTGAAAAGCAATTATTTTCAAAACTTACCTGTGAAACTTATTCACTCCAATCTAATTTAATATTAGAGAAAAAATAAAAGAACTACATAGCATTTAGCATGACCATGGTACACCCAACACAATACAAATAATTTTCTGTTTTAGTATTTCACGTTGCCTGTAAGTACCAAATGGAACCATCCTAACTTATAAAATGACAAGGAGAAAACTATGCATTTTGCAATCAATTACTTTAGGAATCATTTAAACAACTTTCATATAAGATCCCACTAATTGAGCACTTACTATTTACTGTATTATGGAATACCTATACATATATGTTTATAATATAAAACATATAAATATACACACATATACATATATACCTCTTCATGCCAATCTTACAAGGTGCATGTTATTAACCTTGTTACACAAGTGAAAAAATTGTGATTCAAAGAGACAATTTCTTCCAATGTATTCAGCTATAATCAGCTATAATATAGCTGTAATCAGGTATAATGAAGCTAGGAGTTTAATCCAGAATAAAAAGTGCAAGCTATTTCCATTCACTGTACCCTTAACTGTCATACTAATACTAGCAGATTAAACATTTGAATAGACTAAAGATAAAGATGAATATAGTGACAGTCTGTACTATATCCACTTTCTTCTTTAGTGAATGTTCTGAACTGTCAAAATCCTAAATGAGTCCAAGTGTTAAGGATTATCATGGGCAGAACTGAAATTTTTGTATTTCTCACCAGTCTAGGCATTGTTACATGGCACCAATATGACCACTGAGAGCTATTAGGCAGAAAATGCAGATATGTTTAGATTGAACATAAGAGGTTAGGATTGATTGATATTTTTAATGCTTCCTAACAGTCCACCCTCCTCTATACTTCCATCAAGTCATTTCGAATCTATCTTTTGGTCAGTAGCATGTGGTTAGTTCCTGCACCATGCTGAATACAAGGTTCCCTTTGAAGAGCTTGGGATTTTTATATTATGAATATATATATGTATATGTATTCCATAATATAGTAAATAGTAAGTGCTCAGTTAGTCGGATCTTATACGAAAGTTTTAAAAATGATTCCTAAAGTAATTGATTGCAAAATGCACAGTTTTCTGTTCGTCATTTTAAAAGTTAATGGTTCCATTTGGCACTTACAGGCAAAAACACATAAGCATATACACAAAAGTATATCAGACCTTCCTCTTCCTGATACCAGGATTGATTGTATTAACCTTCATCCTACAACCAACCATGCGTTTTACCAACATAAAAGGTTAGGTATTTTGTATATAGTCAACAAGTCATTTGGGTGACTGACTTTCCTCTTTCTTTCTGCTTTTATAAAATATGAAATAGCCTTACAATAAATACTTTTAGGAAAATTAATGATATTTAAGTACATTTGTATCATGTGCCTGTAATTTTTAAAATATTTCCCAACATATATTCCCTTCTCTGAAATTGGGATTTAGCCCTGTAGCCTCTCTAATATTAAGGCAAGGCCAGGAGTCAGATTAGAGACAAAGGAAGATTCTAAAACCAGGGAAAGTAGAGGTCAAAAAAAGAGAGGAAGCTAGAGGGCAAAGGGCAGACCTGAATGGACTACTTTCTGAATGCTAATGGTTAAAATCCCCAGAGGTGAGTTAGATAAAAGCCACAGCGCTGAAGGAATCCTAGAGCAGGTCTTTCTCCAGCTTCTCAGTGGCCATCTCAGGGAAACCCCAATCTCCTCAGAGGGAACCTTGTATTCAGCATGATGCAGGAACTAACCATATGCTGCTGACCAAAAGATAGATTTGAAATGACTTGAGGGAAGGATACAGGAGGATGGACTGACAGGAAGCATTACAAAAAAATAAAAACAAAAACAGAAAAAAAAAAAACCTGCAAGCTAGAATCCAGCACAGAAAACAGATAGTAGCAAAGAGTTTTAGGTTCCCAAATATAAATCTTGGCCCAGAGCATCATTATTCCATAGTAGGCCTCTGGTTGGAATAAGAAGGCTAGACAGAACATGCACGTTAGAACTAGAGGGTATGGCAGAGCATATGGACTTCAGAGGTGTGTGCAGCGTAATTTACAAATAAAACAGGAGCCTCAAGACACACAACTCAGGAAACAACAGGTCAAGTCACCAAGTGACCAAATCGGTTGATAGGCACAGACATCAGCAAGGGTCCAAACAACACATCGAACAGAAGCATATCAGACCTCCCTCTTCCTGATACCAGGATTGATTATATTAACCTTCCTCCTACTACCAACCATGCATTTTACTAATAATATGTTAAATTCAATTTTTATTTCAAACATGCATGTTCATACAGGTAGGCAGTGGGAGATAAAGGATACTAACCTTTATGTAATGACATGTGGTTTGCAAAATGATGTTATTTGTATAAATTAGATGTTTGACTTTATTTTTGTAGTGGGACTAAAATTCTTTTTTTTTTTTTTTTTTTTTTTGAGAAGGAATCTTGTTCTGTCGCCCAGGCTGGAGTGCAGTGGCGCAATCTCAGCTCACTGCAACTTCTCCCTCCCAGGATAAAGCGATTCTTCAGCCTCAGCCTCCCAAGTAGCTGGGACTATAGGCGCGTGCCACCACGCCCAGCTAATTTTTGTATTTTTAGTAGGGATAGGGTTTCACCATATTGGCCAGGCTGGTCCCAAACTCCTGACCTCATGATCACCAGACACAGCCTCCCAAAGTGCTGGGATTACAGACGTGAGCCCACCATGCCCAGCCTGGACTAATATTCTTGTGTCCCTAGATAACCAAACTACCATGCTTACGCCTTCACATGCTTCAGTTACCACAGGTTCATCCTACCTTCTCCAACTACATTGCCTCCCATCCAGTAAGTTTAAAAATTTCTGTGTGCCTATTAGTATGTAGGATATCCGAGAAGCTATTGCTGTTGACCCCTATTTCATCAATTTGAAAACAAGTCCAGGGCCTGTTTCATGGACTGAGAAATTGACTTCAACACAAGAAAAGTCCTCTGGTGAATAATGTGGTTTCCTGTGTCCACACATCCTTTCTGCACTATTAGGACATTGTTCATAATTCATCACATTCAGGATCAAGTACCACCCTAACTCCTTGCCCACTTAGATAAAATCTAACCATGTGGCACCATGGAAAAGAGGCAGTCCTACAAAGTGGTTAGCAAGATAGACTCCGAAGCCAATTTGTCTGGGTTCAAACATCTCTGTAAACTATCAGCTGTGTGTCTTTGAAGAAGTTACCTAACTTTCTTTGTGCCTTAATATTCTCCTCTATAATAGACATATAGACATAAAAAATGCATGTAGCACAAGGCTGTTATGGGTAATAAATAAATTTAATGCATACAAAGCATGTAGAAATATATCTGACTCATAGAACTTTTCAACAAATGGTAGCTACTATTGTCAATATAATAATCTTTCTTGCTTCATCATAATTTTTTCATCCTTCTTCATCAGAGTTGATCAAAGCTGATCCTAGTCCACTTTGCCGAGTTTCCCTAAATTTGACGCTTCGGAAGAAAGTTTTTGTGTCTAGATTTTCTTCCTTTCAATAGGTTGCTGAGGTGATTATGAAAATTAGTTCACCCCTTTTCAGAATCTCGCTTACCAACATGTGTTAGGGTGGAGAGCCTTTTAAAGGTCTCACCCACACAGACACCTAAACTCTCATAAAAAGTTCTTGTTTATATACCTCTTCCCTAGGAAAATGCATGCCTACTTATCTTACAGGGATAATACTAAGAAGTCACTCTAGTGATACTTGTTCCATAATGGAAAAAATCACCATTTTGTCTCTTCTCATAGGAAAGGAGCAGCTGGAGCCATTTTTTATCCCTTCTTAACAAGAACATGATTCTACCATATTTCATCACACTTACGACAGCTTTGTCAGGTGTGTATTAAGGTTTCCATTTTATAGAAAATAAAATGAAAATTCAGGGATATAAAAGGAGAAGTTAACATTACTAAGTTTAAGTAGCATATGGGATACTTAATACATTATAATCTCACTGAATTTTGCCACATTGAGATATAATTATCTCCATTTTCAACATGTGGAAGCAAATTAATAACTCAGAGTCACATAAGAACTCAGACAGCAAAGATGTGAACTAGGTCTTGGACATAATCAAGGCTGTTTTCCACTATGCTTTGATAGCCTCTCTAATGAAGTAGCCAACAGTGGCTCCCCATTTTCTATTACAGTTTTCCAAACTCAAGTATTCAATGGATAATTAAAAATAATCATCACAAGTACCGCTCACTGATTTACTATTTAATTATAATGTTCTTTAAATATGTATAAACAAAAACGTTTAGATCATTAATATTTACGTCTTATTCAATTGTTAAAATAGTATAACAGCAACACTTTAAATATAAACAACTAAAAACTACAAAATTCTATTAACTATTTTACTTTAATATCATAGTGATGTCATACGTCAGAAACCAAAAAGAGGCCTGAAATACAAATATGTGACTTGTTGCTAAGATACAAATTCTTCTGATTCCACTGAGTTCACTATGCTGTCTATGGCCCTTTGATGACTTCAGTCCTCAGCCATGATCTCCATTCCAATCATGACTGTCTCTATTAATATAGCAAGGAAGCATTTGTCATCATTGGCAGTATCTGTCATCTGTGTAGCATAACAAATAATCATGTTAGGTGTCCAGTCAGCTTCTGATTCTTTTTGCCACAAGCCTGCAACAAACAAAGAATAGTATGCCACAAAATTATATATTTTCAAGATGCCAAAAAAACTCAACCTATTAAATAGACTGAATTATTAAATCTATGAAAAGATCAATTTCACACTGTTAGTGGAAAATATATATATACTTATAAGTGCTAAGAGAACTCAATGTGTACAAAAGGAAATTGGATATTTTTGAGTATTTTTGACATTGGGATACATTAAATTATTAGTGGTCAGATACCCTGACAATATATTCGATTTTAAATGTTTCCACTTTAAGCGATAACTCATTTTTATTTTGACTGAAAACAGCAACCCCCCCCAAAGAAAATTATAGTGCCATTACGTGGCAGTTCTTATTTATATTGCCCTTTAGTCAGATGACTCAATGTTTGCCAATGTGTTTGCAAATTCATGTACACCATCAATTATGGTACATTTATGAAAGAGTATAAAATGTTTATATTGTTACACACACACACACACACACACACACACACAGCTTGTGAAAGAAATCCTATCTGGATAAACCCTTAAACACAACATAGTTGAGAGCTTCCTGCTTTGTGATACTCCATTCCTTTGTACTTACCTACTTTGAAGTGTTTGTCACGCTGCCTTAAATTTGTCTGCCTACTTGACCATCTCTCCCATCAGACTGTCTGCTCTTTGAATATAGAGACTATCTATCTATTTGTGCTTATGTCTCACTTGCTACCATGTGTGGCACATAGTAGATGCTCATTACATGACCATGGAGTGAGTGGATGTACTAAATTCTGTGAAGACAACGCAAAAGAGGCATGGCTTTTACTAACAAAAACCTCAAATCTAAGCTCTTTAATGATTATGTCCTCACTGTATTAACAGGGAGCAGATGTCTCAACTGAGTAAGACTCAGAGCAAAGTTGCTATGGGGAATTTGGAGAAGAAAGTTATGGATCTTGAAATGCATTATGTAATTGGGATAATGCAAAGCAAAATAGCATACACAGAAAATGAACTTTTCCATCCTCACAGTAATGCCTGCTTCTGTCTTTGGGCAAAAAATTTAAAAATGCAAAATAGGCAGAAGTGATGGCAGTGTGTAAGAGGGAAAAAACAGGACAGAAAATAGTGTAAATGCACATATTTGAATAATATGCAGAACCTGTGAGAGGCTTGCAGTGAATAAAATTTCTATTACTCAACAATTCTCTTATTTGGCATGAAAAACACAATCTCTTTATGTTATGCAGCCAATATGGTGGCACTCAAGTGGGGATACACAGATTGTCAACACTGCTGGTTATTCATGTCTGCAAACCAGCTCAAGATAGAACATGTGCAGAATAGGGAGAGAGAGAGTTTGGGGACTGTAGAAAACTATTCTTCCTCACTCACTGAACAAAACTGCCATGCAAAAACACATGAGTCACATTAAGTCAACTTAGGATAGCAACTCAGAACAGATTTACACAAGTTAAACAAGGGCCTTTGGAGGGAGAATATTTCAAAGCAATCTGCTTAGTGAATTTTACAGCCTGGGGGCCTGACATCTGCAGACAGCCAAGTGCCTGTAGGAAACTAATGAGGAGAACATACAAATCAACAGCACACCATCTAAATGTATAGCATTTCTGAAGAGAGGCAAAAATATAACCAGAAAGAAAATAAGGGAGAAAGTAGATAAAAAATTATTCTAGCTTTCCTGGCAGTATCATTCTTTGCATTTATTGTACAGGAGTATACATATTTCCTTTATAGATGTTGAAACTTTTTTTCTTCTTTAATAAAGACGATATACCTACCTACTACAAATTAGGTATCTTCCTTGAGTCATTGGTTTCTCACCTGCGAAATGAACAAAACGACCTCCATGTTTCAGAACTGTTATAAAGATTAGGAGAACAATTTGCAGCATTTTAAACAAAGTAAATGAAACTTGCTAGGAATTCGTTAAATAGTATCTGCTAAAATAAACATCATAGGCATTTATGATTTTTTTGTTAAGGCTTCACCAAGAATGGCAAGTCCCTAGCATAAAGCACCCATTTTTTTCTTGCCAAACTAGAAACCACAGAATGTAATCTCCTACACTTGCTTAGACTTCAGGTAACTTTTGTATAATCTTGTTCATTATATTTGATCTACTCTGCTAGACAGGATGAGATGGAGATTTAAAGTGCAAAAAGAAAAAAATATTAAAGTGTCTAAAACAACCTGTCACATCCACAAAAGGCCTTCCACGGCAGGTATATGTTCTACTGACATGTTTTCAAAACATAAAATCTTTGCTTTTCTCATCCACTCGTGAGTGGGGAAGGGTCAAGATAAAGAACTGTTGATAAAGAATGAAAGATAAGATGATATAAGACCACTTAGGGAAAACACAGAAAGCAGAGTCCGAAATCTGCTGTTCTTCTGTGGGAGAACACGTGCTTGATATCACAAACTTGCTAGATATAATCTCAACAATTGATTTCAGAGCTTCTGAAGACATTAACTCAGAGCTTAGGAGTTAGTAGTATGTATGGGACTATGCATACTACTTTGGGATTTGTCCCCTGAATGATAGGTTATTGATTAGAGTCTGTTTAAACCTGACAGTTCAGTGTCAGGAACAGTGAAGATTAGTTAAAGATTAAAGATGAACATACCTTTCCCTCAATTTACCACAATCCACTCTGTTTAGATGCTGTAACCTGAGTCCACTACTACTGACCTTAACCAAGACAAAAGAAACTCCTCACCAATCCTCAGGATAAATATGTCCAATTCATCCTGCAACAAGGCTGCAGAACTATAGAGACAGGTAAAATCACATTTTCTGTGATCCATCTTGGCTACCTGGATGTAGATATTAGGAACCAACGTTTTTGTGATCAACAAATTAGTGGCATAAATCATATCCCTCATATTTTCCAGGCTTTAATACCATTGTGAATTTGCTGGACACATGGAAACACAATGGGTACTGATGTCACTCCATCTCTAATCTCTCCATTTCTGAAAATTATGTCAATTTTCAGCATTTTAAAGAATGTTTACATGTTATAAATGAAGGAAAATGCAGAGACTCCATACACAGCATCTTTATTATATAGGATTGTCCAGGGTCTATAGGTAATAGAATGATATAGAGTAGACTGAGAGGCATGAAGATGCAAACCATCTCTTTCTCCTTATCTAGGTTGATGTGCTTTTCTGTGCTACCCTAAAACCTCTGACTGAGTCAGCAGTCTAACAGGATTGAGATAATCACATTCTTCAATTCATGGTGCAGTAACAGAATCCCTGGTCCGTCCAACCACCCTTATATTTCATTATAGCTTTTACTTCCCCTTTGTACTCCTTAAACATTTTCCCCTTGATTTTCTTTTAGTTTCCATGACATTTTTATTTTTATTTTTTTGTTTTTTGTTTGTTTGTTTTGTGATTTCCTTTTTTCTTTATTATTATTATTATTATTATACTTTAAGGTTTAGGGTACATGTGCACAATGTGCAGGTTAGTTACATATGTATACATGTGCCATGCTGGTGTGCTGCACCCATTAACTTGTCATTTAGCATTAGGTATATCTCCTAAAGCTATCCCTCCCTCCTCCCCCCACCCCACAACAGTCCCCAGATTGTGATGTTCCCCTTCCTGTGTCCATGTGTTCTCATTGTTCAATTCCCACCTATGAGTGAGAATATGTGGTGTTTGGTTTTTTGTTCTTGCGATAGTTTACTGAGAATGATGATTTCCAATTTCATCCATGTCCCTACAAAGGACATGAACTCATCATTTTTTATGGCTGCATAGTATTCCATGGTGTATATGTGCCACATTTTCTTAATCCAGTCTATCATTGTTGGACATTCGGGTTGGTTCCAAGTCTTTGCTATTGTAAATAGTGCCGCAATAAACATACGTGTGCGTGTGTCTTTATAGCAGCATGATTTATAGTCCTTTGGGTATATACCCAGTAATGGGATGGGTGATAAGATAAGAAATCACATGGGTGATAAGAAAGACTGTGATTTATCAGGACAATAAGAACTGCTCTCTCCCAGCATGTAGCACATCTGTGGCATCTGGCCTTCACCCACTCTAGGCTGTAATTTTCCTTACACATAAAAATACTCTGTCTTCCAATAGTACAAGGGATTTTGTGGTAAAACCTGAGATGTTGTTCAGTCAGTCTCTCAATTCTGTGGCTTCACCAAGCCTGGATTGAGGGAATGATCTAGCAGCTTATGTTTTTACCTGCCTTCTTTTTCTTCATCATGGTATTTGCCATATTACTGCATCATAGTTCATATAGTTATGTTTCTCCACTCAACTGTTATCTGTAATCATGTTACAGACTATGACTTCTATGTGTCTATTCCTAACTCAAAAATCAGCTTTGGACACAAAGCAGGTCTCAAATGTTTGTTCAGTGAATGAGAAAATTGGAGTCCAGGGAAGTGAAGTCACTCATCCAAGTTTCTATAGAGGCAGAATCAAGGTTAGAACACAAGTTTCTTCAATATTAGCCTGGTGCCTTTTATACTGTGCCACTCTGATTCTGAATCAGTTCATGTCCATTCAGATTGATGCAGTCCAATATATGCAGTGACATAAAGCAATTGGCCAGGTATTGTTGGATATGTAATGTGACATTCCTTTGATCCTGGAAGGCAGCTGATACATATAAGACTGTTTTGATAACATGTAGCAACACATTACATAAATTATATATATGTTTATGACAACAATCAAATGAGAGATACTGAAAGTAGCTTAAAGGAAAATACTTACAAATTTTGGCTTTTGCTAACAATGCATTTTTAGAAAAAACAAAATAAAAATGGAACATTCATATCACTCTGCCTCAAAGCAAGTCATTTTGAAATGGTTATATGTGTTTAATCAACTTTATGACTATACATTTTGCACTATTTTTCCATTTTACACTAATGCTTTTAAACATGAGATGACTTTATTTTTGAGTTATTATGTTTATGAATAAAATTGGTAACCCAAGTTTTGAGAAACAAAAGTATAAATTTTGAATGTATATTTTTCCTTTGCCTTAGAAAACTAATGTAATTAAGTATAATTAACATGTAGTAATGTCAGCAAATAAAGTCAAACTCTGTAAAATATTTGAAGAGATTTATTTTGAGCCAAATATGAGTGACCATGGCCCATGACACACTCCTTAGGAGGTCCTGGGAACATGTGCTCAAAGCAGCTTGGTTTTATACATTTTAGGAAGATATGAGACTTCAATCAAATACATTTAAGAAATGCATTGGTTTGGTCCAGAAAGGCAGGACAACCTGAAGTGGGGGCTTCCAGCTTATAGGTTGATTTAAAACTTTTTAGTTGACAATTGGTTGAGTTTATCTAAAGACCTGGGAGCAGTAGAAAGGGATGTCTGGGTTTAGATGAAGGATTGTAGAGACCCAAGTTTTTATTTGCAGAAAAACCTTCAGGAAGTAGAACAGGTTGTAAAATGAGTCTTATCAGACTTAAAGTCTTGTTGATGTTAAGGCAGGAGAGGTAAAATAAGGCATGTCAAACTCCACTTCTTGTTATGGCCTGAAACAGTCTCTCGGGTTAAATTTTAAAAGAGCCCTGGTTGAGGAGAAAGTCCATTCATTTGGCTGGGGGAGACTTAATTAGATCATCATGGCAGACAGGAAGCAGGACTAGATTGCAGCTCTGACTCGGACAGACAGAGCAGTGTGCAGAGGCTTGAATCATGAATTTTAGCTCCAGGATAATGGCAAGAACAAACCAGAAATCCTGAGAGGAACCACAGACCCTCTGAAGGAAGCAGACTGCTCCTACAGGACCTGGGAGACATCCCAAATACTAGACTACACAAATGAGAAGAAACCAGAAAACCAACTCTGGTAATATGACAAAACAAGGCTCTTCAATGCCCCCCCCAAAATCACACTAGCTCACCAGCAATGGATCCAAACCAAGAAGAAATCCCTGTTTTACCTCAAAAAGAATTCAGGAGTTTAGTTATTAAGCTAACTAGGGAGCCTCAAGAGGAAGGCAAAACCCAATGCAAGGAAATAAAAATGGTATAAGAAGTGAAGGGAGAAATATTAAAGACACATGCACATGTATGTTTATCCAGTATTTACAATGAACTAAAAAAAAATCAGTGAGAAAAAAAACACTCGCATCAAAAAGTGGGCTAAGGACCTTAATAGACAAGCCTCAAAAGAAGAAATGCAAATGGCCAACAAACCTATGAAAACATGCTCAACATCACTAATGATCAGGGAAATACAAATCAAAGCCACAATGCAATACTACTTTACTCCTGCAAGAATGGCCATAATCAAAATTTTTTTTTAAAAGAGTAGATTTTGGTGTGGATGTGGTGATCAGGGAACACTTTTACACTACTGGTAGGAATGTAGACTAGTACAGCCACTATGGAAAACAGTGTGGAGATTCCTTAAATTAGAACTAAAAGTAGAACTTTCATTTGATCCAGCAATTCCACTACTGGGCATCTATCCAGAGGAAAATAAGGCATTGTATGAAAAAATACTTGCACATGCATGTTTATAGCAGCACAGTTTGCAATTGCAAAATCATGAAACCAACCCAAATGCCCATCAATGAGTGGATAAACTGTGATATATATGTGTGTGTGTATACATATATGATGGAATATATACACATATATATGATGGAATAGTACTCAGCTATAAAAAGGAATGACATGGAATGAGATGGAATGTCCTCTCCTCCCAAGGCAGTTTGGATTCCTGACTATGGTGCTGTAGTAGCAGGAGACAGGGCTTTAGCCAATGTTACCCCACTTTACAGATGAGCCAGTGGAGGTGCCACAGAGTTCAGAAACATGGTCGTTCCTGTTCCTGGAGCTGAGATTGGAACACTGCCATTTGGCACCAGAGCTCCACTGTATCCTGTAGGCTCATCTTTAAAGCTTTCTCTTTTCCATTCACTACGTTCAGAGAGAACTGAGAACACTTCTAATTGGATTCGTTGGATTTTTCTTCACTAATCCTCACCCAACAGTGCTCATTAAGAAGCTTAAAGCCGTGGTGGTTTGGGTGGGGACACAGTCAAACCATATCACTACTGATGCATAGAACATTATGAATGGATCATAGAAACTTTACACTAAGTGCACTTTGGGAGGCCGAGGCAGGTGGATCATCTGAGGTCAGGAGTTTGAGACCAGCCTGGCCAACGTGGTGAAACCCCATCTCTACTAAAAATACAAAAAGTAGCTGGGTGTGGTGATCAGGGAACACTGTTACACTGCTGGTAGGAATGTAGACTAGTACAGCCATTATGGAAAACAATTAAAGAACTAGAAGTAGAACTTTCATTTGATCCAGCAATTCCACTACTGGGCATCTATCCAGAGGGAAAATAAGTCATTATATGAAAAATATACTTGCACACGCATGTTTGTAGCAGCACAGTTTGCAATTGCAAAATCGTGAAACCAACCCAAATGCCCATCAATGAGTGGATTAACTGTGATATATATGTGTGTGTGTATCTGGCAGAAGAAATTTCGAAGCAGCAAAGCATTCAAGAGGTGACTCAGGTGCTCTTAAAAGCATTCAGTTTTATAAGTGAAGCAGAGCATAAAAGGTCAGAATATTTGCAGCCTCACAATGTGATAGAAAAAAAAATCCCATTTTCTGAGGAGAAATTCAAGCTGGCTGCAGAAATTTGCGTAAGTAATGAGGAGCCAAATGTTAGTCTCCAAGACAATGGGGAAAATGTTTCCTAGGCACATCAGAGGTCTTCATGGCAGTCCTTCCCATAACAGGCCCAGAGGCCTAGGAGGAAAAAATGGTTTCATGGGCTGGGCCCAGGTCCCGATGCTGTGTGCAATCTAGGGACTTGGTGCCCTGTGTCCCAGCTTCTCTAGCTGTGACTAAAAGGGGCCAAGGTACAGCTAAGTCCGTGGCTTCAGAGGATTCAAGTCCCAAGTCTTGGCAGTTTTCACATGGTATTGAGCCTGTGAGTATAGAGAAGTCAAGAATTGAGGTTTGGGAGCCTTATCCTAGATTTTGGAGGATGTATGGAAACATCTGGCTGCCCAGGCAGAAGTTTGCTGCAGGGATGGGGGTCTCATGGAGAACTTCTGTTAGGGCAGTGCAGAAGGGAAATATGGGGTCAGAGCCCCCAAACAGAGTCCCTACTGGGGCAATGCCTAGCGAAGTTGTGAGAAGAGGGCCATCACCTTCTTCCAGACCCCAGAGTGGTAGGTCCACCAACAGCTTGCACTATGACCCTGGAAAAACTGCAGACACTCAATGCCAACCCATGAAAGCAACCAGGAGAGGGGCTATACCCTGCAAAGCTACAGGGGCAGAGCGACCCAAGGGCATGGGAACCCACCTTTTGCATCACTGTAACCTGGATGTTAGACATGGAGTCAAAGGAGATCACTCTGGAGCTTTAAGATTTGTCTGCCTTGCTAGATTTTGGACTTTCATGGGGCCTGCAGCCCCTTTGTTTAAGCCAATTTCTCCCATTTGGAATGGCTGTATTTACCTCATGCCTGTACCCCCATTATATCTAGGAAGTAACTAACTTGCTTTTGATTTTACAGGCTCATAGGTGAAAGGGACTTGTCTCAGATGAGATGTTGGACTGTGGACTTTTGAGTTAGTGATGAAATGAGTTAAGACTTCGGGGGACTGTTAGAAAGGCATGATTGGTTTTGAAATGTGAGGACATGAGATTTGGGAGGGGCCAGGAGTGGAATTATATGTTGGCTGTGTCCCCACTCAAATCTCATCTTGAATTCCCAGGTGTTGTGGCAGGGACCCAGTGGGAAGTATTTGAATTATGGGTTTAGGTTTTTCCTGTGCTGTTATTGTGATAGTGAATAAGTCTCAAGAGATATGACGATTTTAAAAACAGAAGTTTCCCTGCACAAGTTCTCTTTTTGCCTGCTGCCATCCATGTTAAACCTCACTTGTTCCTCTTTGTCTTCTGCCATGATCGTGAGGCCTCCTTAGCCATATGGACCTGCAAGTCCATTAAACCTCTTTTCCTTCCCAGTCTTGGGAATGCCTTTATCAGCAGCATGAAAGCAGACTAATTTATGCCTTTTTATTGCTGAATACTATACCATTGTAAGATATACAACAATTTGATTATCTCTTCACCAACTGATGGTTATTTGAATGTTTTTGGGGCAATTTTGGCTACTGGTGAGTAAATTGCTATAAATAGTTGAGTACAGGTCTTTTTATATACACATAATTTAGTTTCTTGTGGGTAAGTAAGTATCTAGGAAAATAATTGTGTTATAGTTTGATACATGTATGTTTAACTTTGTAAGATACTGCAAAACTGGTTTCCAGAGAATCGTACCATTTCACATTCCTTCTAGGGATGCAGGAGAGTTCTAGTTGTTCTACATCATTGTCAACATTTGGTATTCTTGAGACTAATCTCAATTGTTCCCACAGACCAACAATACTTTTCATATTGGCTAGATGGTCATCAGGAAAAAACGATGATATAAGCTTAGAAATGAAGAAGCAGGCTTTGTGATTTGTGAACATAGCAGCTTCTCTCCAAAAACTAGGTACAGGAACACAACAAAATTAACCAATGGTTCCAAACATTCTGGAAAGCAATTTCTAAATGAAATTTCTCTTGGACAGTGTGGCAATGAAAAAAGGTCAATGTAGTGAGTTTGTCATAAAGTTAATTTTAAACATTTATTCTTTATTATGTTAATAATATTTGGTCTTTCCTTTTTGGTATTAAAGTATTTTCTTTTTTTCACTAAGGGATGATATATGCTATTATTTATTTATTTTTATTCTTCACTTTTAATAAACCCACTAATTTGACAAAATTAAAAGGCCTCACTAGTTAAAAGTTTTTTGAGGAGGGTAATTTGGGGATTTTACTATTTTGTGAAATTCAAAGTCAGGTAAAACAGAAATCCATTCTCTTAAGAGGAACCAATTGTAAAAGTCACAATAGCTGAGGTGAAAGATAAGTCTTGGGTTTTTTGTCAGTCTCTGTTATCTGTTTGGAAGATAATTTAGGAAAAGAGTGTTTTTTGATCGATAACTCATTGGCTCTATCAAACATGCTTTTGTACACCTGGAGTTCTGCATTTGAAATTGTACTTTTTTCCCCCCAAAGTCATTGCAGAGTTTAACTTCTGTTTTTATTTGCATTAATAAAATTTTCAAATAAAATATGACATTTGGTTTTAACAGACTTGCCTTTTTGGTAATTTCTGTAATGCTGTTTATAATAATCTTTTGGATGTACAACCTTAGGGGTCTTGTATTTCAGAGCATACTAAAAATCACTCATGAGATTTTAAGTCTGTACCTTCTTGATTTCTTTTCAGCAATGAAACATTTTCTTAATTAATGTTTAATTGAACATTATTTACATAAAATAACATTTATTTATTTATTTATTTATTTATTTATTTATTTATTTATTTATTTTGTAGGCCCTGCCATGTTGCTCAGGCTGGTCTCGAGCTCCTGGCCTCAAGTGATTTTTCCACCTTCGTTTCCTAAAGTGCTAAGGTAACAAGCATGAGCCGCCATGCCTGGCTACATTTTCCAATTGCTTTGTGAGTTTTGATGACTTTTGCTAATTATATATAACAGTGTAATTATTATATGAAGACATCAAACAGCTCCTCATTATAAAATGTTTCTGTCCCTTTATAGATGTTTTTCTCTTCATTCTGGAAGCACAGGCATAAATAATAATAGCAAAGCCCTTCGGGCCTTGAGTTCTCTTTATGAAGCAATTTTTAGTTTCTAATTTAATTTATTTAATTGGTATATAATAGTTTACATTTTCTATGTCTTACTGAGTTTTGGTAATTTATGTCTTTCAAAGAATTTATTTCAGCTAGGTGGTCAAATGTTTTGGAGTAAAGTTGCCTATAATTTTTAAATTCTATTTTCAGTGTCTATAGCATCTCTAGTGTGCAAACCAAAAAGTATCTGAGGCGGGGCACAGTGGCTCATGCCCGTAATCCCAGCACTTTGGGAGGCTGAGGCGGGCAGATAACTTGAAGTCAGGAGTTTGAGACCAGCCTGGCCAACATGGTGAAACCCCATATCCACAAAAAATTAGCTGAACCTGGTGGCATGTGCCTGTAGTCCCATCTACTTGGGAGGCTGAGGCACGATAATCTCTTGAGCTTGGGATGCGGCTGTTGCGGTGAGCCAAGATCACACCACTGCACACCAGTCTGTGTGACAGAGTGAGACCCTGTCTCAAAAAAGAAATAAATAAAAACAAAACAAACAAATAAACAAAACCCCAAAAATATCTGAGACAGTCTGAATCAATTTTGAGGTTTATCTTGCCAAGGTTAAGGATGCGTCCAGTTAAAAGGAATACAAAGCCACACCACAGGAACAATCTGTGGTTCATGACTTTTCCCAAGGATGATTTTGAGGACTTCAACATTTAAACTGGAAAAGTGGGCTAGAGGGGACACTGGGAGGGTATGGTCATACTACTGAATCCATACATTGCAAGGGAAAAGGAGCAGGTAGGGGATCACCAATTATGTATTCACATGCTCAATAAACCAGCACTTTACATAAGATAAAGTGAGCATGGAGTAGCTATCTGTGGCGATATCTAAACTTTTGTCTATAGTTATCTGCTTAGGAACAAAAGGAAAGGCAGGGTGTTTTTTTTTTTTTTTTTTTGGCATAACTTAGCTTTCAGCTTAATTTTTTCCTTTTAGCATAGTGAATTGGAGTCTCAAGATTTTATTTTCCTTTCACAAGTGATATCCCCTCTTTCATTTCTAACATTGGTAACTGGTGTTGTCTACCTTTTTCTCCCTTGGTCATTCTTATTGAAGATTTATTGAATTTGCTCACCTCTTCAGAAGGACAGATTTGGGTTTTGCTAATTTTTTTGAATTTTTTTTCTGCTTCCTATTTTTTATTTCACTTACCTTTATCTTTTCTTCAGCTTTCATAGATTTAATTTTCTCTCTTTTTTCTTGTTTCTTAAAGTAGAATTTTAGAACATTGATTTGAGATCATTCTTTCTATTTTAAAGTAAATATTGAAAGCTTCAAATATCTCTCTAACACTACATTCCCTTTATTCCACAAACGTTGACATGTTGCCTTTTCGTTATCACTCAGTTCAAACTATTTTGTAATTTATCTGTGATTTCTCCTTTGGGTCAGTGGTTATCTACAAGTGTGTTCTTAATTTTCAAATATTTCAGAGATTTGGGGTTATTGTTTTTTTTATTTTAAATATAATTTCATCATGGTAAGAAAGCATGCTCAGTTTAGCTTGAAATGATTTATCTTTATTGAGATATCTTATGATGCAGACTGTTCTATCCTGTTAAACATGTAATACCATGTGTATTTGAAATGAATATGCGTATTGTCTTGTTTTACAGCTTAGTGTTCTATGCATGTATATTAATTAGGTTAAAGTGTTTGGTTGTATCATGCATACATTCCTTATCCTTGTGTAGTAATTATATCAATTCTCATTCATGAATTTTGACAATTCTTGTATCAAGCGGTGATGGAGGGGTATTAACATCTACAAGTATTTCATTAAAATTGCCCATTTCACACTTTATTCTGTCATTTTTTTGCTTTATATTTTTTGAAGCTCTATTAATGGATATTTACACATTTACAATTGCATGCCTTCTTGATGGATTTATCCTTTTATCATTGTGAAGTGATTCCCTTTATCTGTGACAACACTCTTAGTTTTCAAAGCATTGTATTGTGGGCTTTACAAATGTTCAGCTGTTCAGATTCTGTATTCTTTCATTTTTTCTTCAATCGGTGTTATTTCTTTGGTGTTAGTATGTGATTTTTTTGTTGTTGTTGGTTTTGCCCTGAACAAACACTGTTTCTGGTGTAGCAGCCTCAGACTCAATTCAAATCTTTGTCTTTACATGAACCACTTTGATGCTGTTCAGCCATGTTTGGCTTTGGGATCAGTCAGGGATGTGACTAGGAAGAGTTGGTGGGTTCCTTCTCTAGCTCATTCCCTTCTATGATTCTCCACTCCTTTCAGTATACATGGTTTTCTAGCTTCCCTAATCTGGTTCTCCAGCCAGAATACAAAGGTTGTTTTGTCGTGTACCTACTGGAGTCACTGCTCTTTCAGGATAGATGGTAGTTAGCACCAGGTCAAATGGAAGACAGGAAGTACTTGTGTGGTTTGTACTCTGTATGCCGTCCTCAAGGGGTATGTGCAACCCACTCCCCCACATCCCTACTGTTATTTACTCTCTAGTATTTTTTAGGTAGCTGTTTTAGTGTTAGGTAGAGGTTTTATAGCTTTGTGTGTGTGTGTGTGTGTGCTGAGACTGGGGATCGTTCAGCAAATTTTAGCTTGTCATACTTGCATATGGAAGTATGTATGCTGACTTGATTTTTAACCTTTGATCTGGTTTTAATTTGGAACAGTTTGTTTCTGTCATTAGTCTTCTTAACACCATATTTCCTAGAAATTTAAGGAAGCTTATAAATTCCCAAATATTCAGATTTTAGAGAAAGATTTTAATGTGTATATGTTAAAATATAGTAAATATAGTAACTACTGATTTTAAATTGTCAATTGTTTAATTAATACTCATCAGTCTCTAGTCAATAGCTACTAGTCTTGTCTGCATCTTCATCTAGAGCCTATTGTGGTACAGTATTGATTAATGACTAGGGGTGAAAGCTCTGGAGCTAAGCTGTCTGGATTTGGATATTAGCTGTGTCCTTTATTAGATGGCCTTGGGAATTTTATGTACCATCTCTGTACATGTTCGATAAGGTGCTTGTTAGCATTAAATTCTTTAGTAAAATTAAATGGCTTAGAATTATATCTGGCACATAGTAAATGCTCAAAAATTTGAGTCATTAAGATTATTGCCTTAACAGCAAATTATAAAGAGATGAAAAGAAAATAATGAAAAGCAAGTAGATCTAATGACAGCATACTTTGAAATTCTGATCGGAATAATCCAGTTGAACAATTTTGAAATAATTATGTGGAAGAAAATTCAATATTATGATTCTACTGATAATATCTGGTCGCACCTTAATTGTTTTCAAATGACTTTTCTCTTGGTGCTGGTGGTGTTGAAGGTGAGGAGGAGATTGGAAGTATTTCATCCCCAGCCTAAGACTGTAAACATAGCAAATGTTAATAGTTATTGTATTATTGTATTAGTAAAAGTAGATTTAATTAAGCTCTGATGACAAGTAAGAACTGAAAAAAACACAACTAATGCTTATTTTCTGGTCATGCCCTGTTTCCTTGGGGGTTAGCTGGACTCTGCCATACATCATTCCCCTCCTTACTCTAAGACTTAGGTTGTTGAAGGAACCCCCTCTAGAACACAGCCAAGAAGGGAAGAAGGAGCTGAAAAGTTTAGCAATTGGCAATCAGATATACAACCAGGAAGTGACACCATCAATTCTTCACATCAATCACTGGCCCGAATGCCTCACATGGCCCATCTAATTGCAGGAGACCAGGAAGTATGATTTCTTTTCTTTTTTTTTTTTTTTTTTTGAGACAGAGTCTCGCTCTGTTGCCCAGGCTGGAGTGCAGTGGCGTGATCTCGGCTCACTGCAAACTCTGCCTCCTGGGTTCACGCCATTCTCCTGCCTCAGCCTCCTGAGTAGCTGGGACTACAGGTGCCCGCCACCACGCCCGGCTATTTTTTTGTATTTTTAGTAGAGACGGGGTTTCACTATGTTGGCCAGGATGGTCTCTATCTCTTGACCTCATGATCCACCTGCCTCGGCCTCCCAAAGTGCTGGGATTACAGGCGTGAGCCACTGCGCCCAGCCTCGGAAGTATGATTTTATCACAAACCTAGGTGTTAGAGAGCAGGAAATATTACTGAAAAGCATTAATGACTATCACGGGCATCAAGATAATATTAGGAGATGGTATATTCTTATATGTCACTTTACAACACAATTACAATATCATTCTTTTTATACACAATAGTTAATGAATCTGGTAATTGAACTTTTTAAACTTGTCAATGCTTATTAGAAAAAATAGATTTTATTTAAAAATTTGCTACAAGATATTAAAGCATAGATTTTTTCCAAACACTTATTTGCCATATTATTTTCCAAATATTAGCTCTTTCACCTCTTTTATTGAGCAATAAAAAATTATGTATGCTAAGGAAATGCTAGACTTTGGTTTGAAATATGAATGTTTCACACTAAAAGGATTATTCAATTCTCTTAAGCACTCATATGAATTCTCTGACATTTTTCAGGTTCAACAATTACAAAAATAACAACATATTTACTTTCATGACAATTAGAACTTTGATTTTTTTTGGCAGAAAATCATGTGGATATCACTTGCAGTTGAATCTTGGGGAATGATATTGAAAGTTGTGGTTATATGAGCGTCATCAAAATTGCCTGAGAGATTCCTCAGGTTAATAATTGGAAAATCCCATTTAAAAATCTAAAAATGGAAAATAAGATAGTCAACAAGTTTGGCTGAGTGAAGTGAAAGTGTCACTACATAAGAAATTTGAAAAAATAAAATTTCAAAAATTGATTAAAACAAAGAGAACCCTTAAATAATATCTCTTTGGATGCCTCCCTCTGACATAAAGTAACAGATGTTAAAGGTTTAACTGAGAAACAACTAACTAATTTCAGAGCTAAGGCAGTACCAAGGTCTAGCAACCAACTGGGTGCTGTTTTTATCAAGCCACAGTTTGCATCTGGAAGTGACGATGATTTTACAGAAATGAGAATAACATTTGTTTTCAGTATTTTCTCCTGAAGTAGACAACCCAGTAAATTTTTATTGTGCCGCTCAGTCTCTGCCACACCCACAAAAATCACAATTTCTCATGGAATGTAACACTCAACTTCAAGAGTCAGAACCTGTCACATAGAATGATTTCTGACCTTGAAAATACCTGCATTAAGAGCATATTTTATTTTTGTAACTTGTCCTATTGACTGAGTTAGAATAGTTGGGTCAGGATTGTGTTTAACATTTTCAATTCGCTCTGCTTTGCATATGTATTTGAATTATTTGAATATACATTTTTGTCCCTCAAGAGTGACTCACGTGACATTTCCTAGCCCCATCAATATTTATCCTAAATAGGGTTTCCATCATAGTCAACCAATAAAAAGTTACCTATTGTACCACAATTCATTACATGAAACATAGTTATAGCCAAACATTCTACAACATATGTCTCAGGTTTAACAGCTTCCATGACAGTACGTTAAATTAAATCAAATCACAGAGTTCTGTGTAACTTCATGTTAAAATATATAAGTTAAACTCAAACTATGAACACTCTGCTAGTCTCTGTGCTAGCCAAGTAAAGTAATGAGCCAGTTAAAAACCTACTTAGACGAAGGTAGGGGATATCTGTACTTCAAATGTAGTAGTGATTAGAGAAGATATACATAGACAAGGATAGCATAGTTCTGAGCTACTGTTTTATAACTTTAATAAGTCTGATTTTCAGCAGAACATTATTAATGAAAAAGCAATGTGTTTAGATATAAAAGCTACTGGATTTGGAGTCATGACACCTGGGTTCCAGTTTAGATTCTTCAACTCACCAGTCATGACTGATTGGGTAAATCACACCTAATACTTGGATTTCACATTCCTCATTAATGAAATTTGAAGGTCAGACCAGCTCATACCTAGTGTCCCTTTTAACTATGAAATGTATCCAAGCCACACTTATAACCAAGCCAATGGAAGAAATATTTGTAAGTTAAACTCAGTGACTTCAGTATTATTTGGTCCCTTGATCATCTGTTCAGTTACTTTTATCAGCCTTGATGAATAAAAATAACCTGTTTCTTGTGTGTGTATTCATAAGACAGCCCTTCTAAGAAAATGTTTCTTCTCATTTCAGTAACAAAGGTGGGAAACTGGCAAAAAACATCGTATTATAGAATTGATGGCATGGCCTTTTTTACCATTTTATGAGACCACCTGAAACTTTGTTTTTCTTGAGTAACTTCATTGCTTCCAAATGTTTTAGAAGCATTCCATAAACCTTGACAAGAGCCTTTCTTATTGCAAGACTTTTTCTTAAAGCACAGTAGGTAACTCCTTACATAGAACATGAATGTCTTATTACAGCCATTATATATGGTTATTACTTTTGATTGAAATTAAATTAAAAAGCACTTGAGAAATAAGGAAAGATTTAATTATACCATAAAAACTGTCAGCTTTTCATTTTTAACATCTGTTAGATATGCATGCCAGTAGCAGTGGTCTAGAGTATTTGCCAGATACCTAGTCAACAAACCTTGCAGAATCATCTGAGAACTGAGGCAATGTGATTTCAGACTGTTTTTCACATCTGATAACTGAGTCAAAGTTAAACACATTGAAGGGCTTGCTGATGTTAATTTTTCTTCATTTTATGGAGAAAAAGAAAGCATTTCCATGCTTTTTTGTTTGTTGTTTTCCTCACTATTCATCATGATGGATTTCATCTGGCATGACATGTCTGTGCTTCAGTGAAAACCTGCAATTCCTCAAAGAGAAGCTTCATTCTCTGAAAAGTGCCAAATGTGGAGTGTTTGTTGCCCCTATGTGATGTTTCTATAAAGGTTATTTTTAACTTTGATACTTAAAAGCCAAAATCATTGGAACTCTGAGCTTTGGAAAATGCTTTTGGCCTGAATGGGTTTGGATGGATGCTAACTAATTAGCAGACAGGCAGGAAGGCCACAGGTAGTAGGATGTGATGCATTTCTGACAGGTGGAGTCTCTTTTTAGTTCTTTCTTCAGTCATCAATATATGGACTCAGTGAGCTAGAATGTCACTTTGTGAAACTGACAGCCTCCCTAGGACTCTAAAAAGAGTTGTTTTTTGGGCGATATGTTTATTTTTTTTCTCTACCTCTACCAATCGTATAGTACCTTCACTTTTCCTTTCATCTTGATGTCCCAAGATAAAAAAAAAAAAATCTAAAAAGAAGATTTGGAGTAGACAAGCATTAAACTTCTACCATTTCAAAAGGTATTATATCGAGATGGTGAAGTTCATAGTGAAGTTCATGATTCTTATTTATTTCTTATTTTTTCCCTAATCGAGGGCTTTTTTTTTTCAAATAAGATGATTAGATTCCTTTTAAAGTATTAGATTGTTTGAATGTGTAGGAATAAAACATCAATTTTTCTAATCCTCGAAATAATACAGCCTGTTTGGTATCATTACATTTGAAAAATTTATACCATTTTTAAAGTGAAGAAACTGTATCATTTGCCCAAATGTGTACAAATTAGAATAAGCTACAGCTCTTCTAAGTTGTACAACTAAGCCCATGATTGGATCTAGGTCTCCCTAATTTCAAAGCCTGGCTCTTACGTTTACACTATATTGCAGCTGGAATAAATAGCTAGTTGAATTACACAAACTGGAGGAAATTGGAAATTTCTGCCACAAAATATTTTTCTCATGCATTTGATTAATCCTGCAGTTATTCACTAGCTGTTTATTATTTTGATTAAGGCATTTTTCCCTATGCAAAAGATAATGGGAAAAATATTATAATTTATTAACACTATTGAGGACTTGTTATAAAATTTTCTACTATGTATAATAAAAGTGAGTACTGACTTTGGGGTCAAATGACCTGGTTCTTTTCCCTTTCTTGTCTTGTTAATGGATGACACTCAAATACACTTCCTAAGATAAACAACTTTACTTGGTGTTTGTTGTAGAACACCTCATTGTTAAAACTAAAGAGTTTGAGATGTTTTTCATTCTCTCAAGCTAACAAGTCAGCCTGGCAAAATTTCATAGACGCTGGCAGATGACACAAAACTCCTGGGTTAGAGACAAATGAGTTTATTACTCCCAGCACACAAATCAGCATGATCATCAGCATGTTTTGGCACCATTTTTCCTAGCCTCAGTTCCTTCTGGGCCATGTGAAGAGGAGAAGATGACTCATATATACCCAGTAGGGGAGGAAACATGAGTTTAGGAAACCTGAATATTTTATACTTACAGTTAGCATGCCTGCCCTTTGCTCCTAATAGGACATTAGTTTTCCAACACTTTTCACTGTATACATATCCTTTAAAAGATAGTTAAGAACAAAGGTATTCAGTGTCCTTTCTTGTAAAACATGCAGAAATATGAAAGGCCCATTTCAAAACTCATGAGGTATTCCCTTGTCATGGCATGGACCTGTCAGGTGTAGCTGGTTGTTTTTTGGATGATATATTTATTTTTTTCTCCACCTCTACCAATCTTATTTACAGTACCTTCACTTTTCCTTTCATTTTGATGTCCCAAATTATTTTCTTTATTTTCTAAAACCTGTAATGTATGTATTTCTGTAGGCCTTCTAACGTGCCTTTAAAAACAAATCAATTAACTGCTATGTAACATCCCACCCCAAAATTTAATGACTAAAAACAACAATGATCTATTGATTCTTACAATTCTGTTGGTTAACTGGATGGTTCCTTTGTTTCTTATCTGGGTTTATTCCATGCTACATTCATTCAGCTGGAATATTGGCTGGTCTGGAATGTCCAGATGGCTCCATTCACATCTTGAATAGCTGGTGCTGGCCCTGGTTCTCCTTCACTTGACCTCTCCTACTCCAGTAGGACTGACTTCCTTACCTTGTGGCTTTATGGCTGCATTCCATGAGGGAGGGCAAAGGCAGAAGCTGCAATGTCCTTGAGGTCCAGCCTCTAGAACTTACTCAACATGACTTCTGCCTAATTCTGTTGGTCAAAGCAAGTCAGAAAGCCAGGCTGAATTCAAATGGATGAAAAAACAGGGTGCATCTTTTGATAGAAGGATCTATGAAAAAAATTCTAGCCATAAATATTCTATCTCAAGTGAACTTCTTGTAAGTAAACTTACTTCCATGGGACTTTCAGTAAATCACTTTACCTCTTTGGGATTTACTTTCAATAAATTAAATCAATACAATCCAATATAAATTTAAACAACAGGCAAGGTCTCTTTCAAATCTCAATAGTGCTGTTTCTAGCATACTTTCTAAAGTACCATTCCCTGAGGCTACTTAGGCTGAGGCAAAAGTAGAAAGAGTCTGTGGGGATTGAGTGACTGAAGAATATATGTAAGCTTGCCAGTAGATGAGGGAATGTATCTGTGTTACTTGCAGGGCAATCAGAAAAGCTGCAGATGGTCACTGAAAGGGAAGTTCAAGAAAGACAGTATAAAGACAAACTGGGTATTTAATAATTTTGTTCAAGGTGAGTTATATAAGTTAAATTCTGTATTAGCCTAGATGTTATGTAAGTTAAATCATGTATTAACCTAGATGATTTTAAATGCAATTGCCAAACTATTAGATTTACATCCAATTGATTTATTTATATCTCCTAACTCTAATGTGGAGAGTTACATCTTAAAATAATCAAACATCCACAATTTGACAATAGGTCTTTAAAAATGCCTGGAAGTTCATATCAAGACCCCAGTGATTAAATTTGCTATGAATAGTCTCTGTGATTCAGTATCTTCAAGTGCATAGCACATAAAGATTGTAAGAGTAAATTTAAGTAAAGTCAATTCACTGAAAAACCAATCTGCCTGTTAAGATAGCAAATTAAAAAATGCCAAATTGATTAGGATTTTTTTTTTCAAAATTTGATTATTCATTGCCTGTCTGCATTTTAGTTGCAGCATTCTCAGTCTAGTTTGGCTACAAGCCAGAGTCATGCATGTGGTATATTCCAGTGAGCATATTTTATATTCAAATGTTTTTATATGTACAATTGCCTATCTTCTTTATATCTTTAAGCTTTTCTTTTCCCCCTACATTTGTCTGCCTCTGGAGAAACAATGAATAAAGAAATTGTTAGTTCCTCTTTAAGGAATTTGATATGTTTTAGGAACTAAGGTCACTTGGGAATTGATCATATGACACATTATTTTTCTGGAAGTTAGCTTTTGGAAAATTGGCTTTTGATAAATTTGTCATTTTGTAAATTGGTTACTTGACATATTTGTCATTTGATGAGTTGATCATTTGCTGAGTTTGTCATTTACTGAGTTGGTCATTTCCAATAATTGGATAACATTGAATTGACCTAGAGCTAGGAGTGTGCTGGAGCTGGCTTGTACCAGCTCATAAGAAACTATTGTGCACACATTTTCCCAATTTTTGATTCAGTGACATGAAATTGATAGCTTGAAATTGTCCATGATGGGAGTATTTAGATGACTGAAATTTGCAAATGCTTCAAATAAGGGCTTTTTTTTTTTTTTTTTTTTTTTTTTGACAAGGAGTCTTGCTCTGTTGCCCAGGCTGGAGTGCAGTAGTGCAAACTTGACTCACTGCAACCTCCACCTCCCAGGTTCAAGCAATTCTCTGCCTCAGCTTCCTGAGTAGCTGGGATTACAGGCACCTGCCACCACGCCCAGCTAATTTTCGTATTTTTAGTAGAGACAGGGTTTCACCATCTTGCTAGGCTGGTCTTGAACTCCTGACCTCGTGATCCACCTGTCTCGGCCTCCCGACGTGCTGAGACTACAGGTGTGAGCCACCACAGCTGGCCAAGGGCTCATTTTTTTTTTTAGAACCAGATTATCAGCACACCATTGTTTAAAACCAATAAACTCTAATAGTAAACAAATTGAAAACTCGACTGCCTATGAAAACTTTCTAAAAATAGTAAAAATATACATGGCTTTTAGAAAATTACCCAATAGGTCAATTTGGTATGCATTTGCACTATTAAATGATAATGATTATGATTTAATAATAAAAATATCAGCCACTAACTTTAGCCTCTTCTACATATCAAGTACTAGAGAGGTCACTTTATATGTGTTTGTCCATTTCATCCTAGAATTAAAAAAAAAGAGATATTATAATTCTCATTTTATGGGTGAGAAAATAGCAGCTTAGCAAGAACCAAGAACTAATTTCAAAGTTATTTTTCATTTTGCTTCATGTTCTTCTGGATCTAAAATCTATTGGTTCTACCTCTAAAATAAGTTATCTTATGTTTTAGGGTAAGAAGACTAGGGAAGTGCAAGAAGATTGATTGTTATTATGACTGCTTTCATTGAAACCCATAACATTTATATAGTATAAACTATGTAATATTTGTATAATATAAACTATATAAATTCACCTGTATATTGGGCATACAATGCTTCAAAAATATATAGAATGACTGATGTTTTGTGCTTTTGCTGCAGTCTATTATGATGTATTTTCATTTGAACTATTAGTTACATTTTCTTAAACATGTCACCTCCCAGAGATATTTCTATATCAGGAAGGGAATTTTGAAAATGAATACTGCTTAAATAAGCACACTTCAGATTTAAAAGGTACTTTACAATTTTGAGATATATTTGGTAATGGGACAGATATTCACTCCTTTCTCTTGGTCTATAAATATATACCCCAAGCACTGTGCTAAGTTATTAGCCATTTAATGTGAAGAAAAATCACTTAAAGTTACCTATATCTCAGGATAAATAACAGTTACAGTGAATTCTGGAATGGGACCACCCATTGGTGAACAATTATGTATCATTTCTGAAAGTAATGGGATTCTTATAACCACCATCACCAAATGTCCTTCCAAATAGGCATGATGAACCAGCTCATTTGTCAGTAGTTCTTGTGCTGCAAGTTAGTTTCTAGGGAATGAATTCAGAGCCTGGCACAATGTATGAGACTCGCTGGAGCAATTAAGATTCTAAAAGGCAAACTGTTTGAGTCATATGTGCTATCATCCTAGTTAATATTTAAACTCTATGATAAACTTAGTTGATATCGCTGTTTAAGTTTGGTTCTACTTATTACTTCTATATAATTAAATGTTCAGAGAAGAAAAGGATCTTATTCTTTTAAGAATTAAAATGTATCCTTGAGAAGGTATTGTTTTTTAAAGCCTGGTGGCTTTCTAAAAAAGGTAATGGACAAGTTTAAAAATTGATGTAGACTCTTTTTATCCATATATAAGATTAGCCATACATCATTATGAAAATTATATAGAAGCAGCCTGATGTGTAGCTTGGGGTATACAAAAGAGAGAACTATAGAAAATACGGCCTTATATTTTCTTCATCATTTAAGTTTTTGTTTTTTGAAGACAAAAGAAAAAATTTGGAAGTTATATTTCCTATTTACAGAAATTAGCAAGTTACTAAAAATAAAGATTGTGCCAATTTTAATGAATATTAAATATTAATATTAGGCAACAATGCTTGCTATTTGAATAAAAAATTACATTTTGATAGAACTGAACTTTTATCATTAAATAGATAGTGTCATATTATTGTTAACTCAAATGCTTGATGGGAATGCATAGCTTCACTTTCAAAAACAAGACATTTGGTGCCATCTAATGCATTGCTCATGTGGCATATAGATGTGACATACAACAGGCTTGCCAACTCCAACCACAGCCACTGCAACTCTTAAGAAATTGATTTGACTTAGATGGGATTTTCCATTTATTGAAATGGATATGGATTTTCATGCCCAGTCACTGAATGAAATTCGAAAGAGAACCTATTTTAAAAATAGGAAATGACTCTAAATAAATTTATAAATTTCATGAGACGAGAAAAGATGTTTCTTTTGTTTATATTCTGAATGCATCTAATATAAAGCCTTGAGATTGGTAGGGGATTCATATATATCTTTATTGGTTGATTTACTTAATTCTTCCTTACACTTCTAAATTTATTTGTTTTAACATCAGAAACTAATTTTTAGATTTCTTCCACAAGTGAATTCAACCAGTTGCTTCACTTTGGAAATAGGATGTTTTCAAAAGCATACAAATGATTAGAATTTTTTTCTAAAAAACATTTAAAAGAATAACAACAGTTTCGACAATGAATTAAAAAAACCTTCTGTTCATAAAAAAATATAGGGGCATATGATGCAAATGCATACATAAAGCTAACCTAAAAATATGAAAATGTAAACTAAAACCTGAGGAAATTGTTACTAAATCATGTTACAGAGAGTGGATAGCAAAGACTGGACATAGGACCAGCTATATTGGCATAACTTAGGAGCTTGTTAGAAATACAGTCTGTCAGGCCTCCCTCTAAGGCTATTGTGTGGAAATCTGCCTTATAACAAGGTTGCTAAAGGATTGATTTTCACCATAAAACTTGAGAAGTGGTGTTTCACAGAGCAGGTCCCTAAACCTCTGCTACCTTGGTCCACATCACTGCCCTGGCCCTACTCTTCCTGAGGCTTGGGAGTTCAAACCTGCCTTGAATTTTGTGAAATGCTCCGCATCATTGCAAAACATCCAAATGATACATTGTAGCCTTCTGCAATGCATCATTTCCTCTAAAACAACATCTAGAAACTTCTAAACTTTTCTCTAAAATTTCTCTAAAATTTTCTCTAAAGTTCTTTTTTTCTACTTGTAACAAATACAGACTTTAAAAATGTAACAAGTAATGTTCAACAATTGGATAATTTTTAATTATATTTGTGTATTTGTTTCGTACAAAGATTATGAAGTCTATGTGAATAAAGAAATTTTTATGACATAATGTTAATCAAAATTAGGATTTCACTTACATAACACCCTGATAGATAATAGTAAAAAAGACTTTTTTGAATTTTTTTAATTATTAGTTTTAATCTTTTTTATTTTTTTCTTGAGCTTCCATTTTTATTGAACCATTATGTTAATAAGAATTATGTATTTTAAAAAATAATGTGCCAATCTGGAGTGTAAGGCAAAATATAGAGCTATAGCAAGAGTAAACACTAGTTGATTTTTATTTGATCTAGGGCATACATTCATCAAAATTCAATATTCTATTTCCTGTGCTTTTGTTTATGTATGGAGCTTTCCAAAATAAGAGAGATGTAAGTAGATAAAATTTTATGATTGGAGTTGTAACTTTTCTAGACAAATAGCATAGTAGTGTCAAAGTCAAGTAAAATATAGAGATAGGTCTCTAAAATTAAAATGTTTTATTTTGGAAGAAAGAATAGCAATTTGGGGCATACATGCTGACCACTAGTCTTCCATATGTCCAAAGAACAAGCTTTTAAGAGAAGCTTAGGAATTTCATGAAAAGGAGAAATGTTATGTATTGTTCTTCAAGAATGTTTGCTGACACTAGCAAAGTTGTCAGTAGCTGGCAAGCTCTGGTTAGTGAGGGACAGCAGTGAATAAAACTAGTCTTAAGAGTTTCAGCAGGTTTTTTCAGTAGCCATTAGATAAAACTGGTTTCAGATTACAGCAAGCAATTTTAACAGCCAGACTTGCAGAGGATTAGATTTTTGGAGCAAGGTCAGTGCTTCTTCATTCTGACCTCTCGACTCTGTTTTAGTTGGTCATGACAAGCATGACCCACTTAGTAGAAACAACTTCCATATTTCCCCCTTTTGATCAAGATCTTTTTTCAGAAAGCATCACTGATAAACCATTTTGCAGTTAGGTTTAATTGTCCCTGAGGGCTGGGATGGACCTGTCCCAGTTGAATTTGTCCCATGACAGGGAGAAGGTAGGGGTTTCTATGTCAGGAACTTGGGCCACATTTGAATAACAAAGAGTCCAGAAGGAAAAATATTCTATGGGTATGTTTATCTGGAGTCTAGCATTGAGTTTCATATTATCAATCCATAGGCATCTGTAATCATTTGAGGGTTTAGCTAATATTATCCTGTTAGAGTTGACTTTACAAACTAGGCAAGAAATATGAATCAAGTTTAAAAATCATAATACAGACAAAGAATTAATAACATAATAAATGTACATTTGTACAACGGTTTTGAACTAAGAGTCCAAGCCTAAGGGCAACAAACTCATCAAATCAATAGACCATGGAGGAAAGTGAGTGAGACCTGTTGGAGCCACTAAATAACATTTTATGACTAGGTTGAATTAAAGCAGTCAATCCTAACTTTACAAAAGGTATCACTAGTATAATTTGAATAAAAAGTTGTGCTGGGAGTATTGTCAAACTTGCCCACTGAGTGGACTAAAAAGATATCTTTGGTCAAGTTTTGTCAAGTTACTTATAGAATTTACTGATTGCAAAATTTTAATTACAGCATTATTCTGCCAGGAATCTCAAGCTGTTTGCAGCATGAGAAACATCAACCTCTCATCCTGGTTTACCAGTTTGAATGACTCTGGTTATACCATGAAGTGGCTTGGTGACCTTTCTGTGTGGCCCATACATCAAGCAAAAAACAAAAAACAAAAAACGAAAAACAAAAAAAAAAACCTGATCCTTAAAATTTGTCTAGTTTTAGCTTATAGGGATTTAGGAATAGAGCAATTCCTGTTTTAGTAATTTTATGAAAGAAACTGGATTGGAGAAACCCCCAAAACTTAGTACCTAATCTAGTCTATAAATAGATTTTAAAAAAACCCCTCAAAAACAATGTACAGAGTTTCAATCTAGTAACAGGTATATTATAATTTTTCTTTGGAAATACAAATTTTCTCTACATTGATTGTATAAGAATATCAGATTTAAAAACCTCTTGAGAGTAGGAAGCCAAACCAATGCAGACTTTAGATATTATTCACAGCCTTGTGTTTCCTGGGCCTGCTAGACAGTGACAGTTTTTATTTATTCACTGTAAGGCTGGGAGCACTTGCAGTCAGGAATTTTATGCATATTTTCAAATATGACATTTCAGTCAAAGCATTAGTAATATAGCCAATGTTTTCTATAAGCAGAGAGCAGATTTTACTGGATTTATGTAAATAGTCATGTTGTCATAAAAATACTCACAAATAGTTTTTGAATTCCTGGAGGAACAAAGAAGAAAAAAAACACACAAATACATTTATCTCTGTTTACAAAAGTATTCCTTACGAAATGATCATAAATTATAGCTCTCTGAAGAGAGAAAATTTCCGTAAATCTTAAAAAAATTATATAAAGAGCCAACAATGTTTTAAATAACAGTTACAAAAACATAATCATCAGTTATTTATTCTTGTATAACCAATTCATATTGTGCTTCCATTAGTAGTTTTATAAATCTATCAGTTTTTTATCAGAGTACTGGAAATTTTTATTTAGTCTGTTGATCTTCAAGTTATTAGAAACCTGTACGTAACTGTACTTGGTGAAGTTGTTTCCATGAATCTGATTGTGACTGTTTTTAGAAAAGAATTCAAAACAGTAACTATGGATGACAAAAACTTAGAATAGCCATGATTAATAATCTGATGAAAATTTACCTTTGACAAGGAAATTCTGTTATTTCTATTATATACAGCATTTAAAGATAACAACCAAAATTATGACTGGTAATATATTTTAATGAATTATATAATTTTTGAAACATTTTTATTAACAATATAACCATAAACACAACTAAATGAAAGACCTAGTACCACTTATCATTCATTAATGTTTCCTGTATTATTTAAATCTAATAATTTAAGTTAGATCTAAGACTTTACAAAGGTTTAAGCCTAATTACTTAAATCTTTACAAAGTGAGAGGTACATATTTTGAGACTTTCCAGAGAAAACTCCAAAGTAAATTTTAGGTCAAAAATACTTAATTTAGGATTTAATTTTGAGGACATTTGTCACAGTTACCAAAAGGCTCAAAACTTTTAAATTAAAAAAAAAATCCCGTGTCACTCTAAAATAATTCTCATTCACTTAATCAGTGTGATAATCAAAATATTTCAAAACCAATAGAGGAAATTACATAGATGTAATCGTAGATGTAATTAATACCTTAATCATTTTAAAGCTCAGTTTTTTAAGTCATAAAAAACCTAATAAAGGCAACACAAAAAATTATATTGATAAAATATAAAGTATTTGTTTCTTGGACCAGCTACCAAAAGGTAACGGAAAACCTTCTGGTGATTGTTTCTCCTCATAGAAAGCTCATTTAGATGCACTAGAAGTCAAACCTGATGAAAACTTGAATTAATCAGACATAGAAATAATGCGCCCAAGGTTATGAGTATGCCAATTAAGATTACATCAATAAAAGTCAAGAATAAAAAATTAAATTATACCAAAAGAAAATATTGCTTTGCTAGGCCTTGAAAATAAACATTTCAGGGTCAGGCCGTAACAGCTGAGTTGGACCAGTGAAAACAAGCTATATGAGCTGACTAAAAGTACAAGGGAGTTATTATCCTCACCTTCTCAAGGGGAGAAAAAGCTGAAGGTAATGATGTATGACCTGCAAATCACAAGCAGCAAGATACAGCAAAAGTTAAATGTCTGAAAATGAATTTGAAATATTTCAAAGGTAAAACTGTATCTCAAAAAATTAAATACATTTCAAATGAAGAGGATAGCATTTTTAACCTGAAACTAGTAAAATAAAATAAACCTCAGGAAGAAGATGGCTGTTAATGAAACAGATTTTATAATTAAAAGTCAAAATATCTTTCATTTTTATTAAGAGCAAATTAGTACTTTAAGGAAACCTTGTTGTTTTAAGTATAGGGGAACAGAGTTTGGTTTTGTATCAGTGTCCCTGACATCAGTGTTTTATTTTTAGAAAAACACATAAACAGTTTATTTTCCATCTCAGCCAATCCAATCACATATGAAATGTCCTTCACATAGTTCATCCTTTACAAATCTTCCTTGACTTGTTTAGAGCTTTTATAATTTTCTTAAATCACACCCTTAGTCCTATATTTTTAAATATATATTTTGATTAATAAACCTAAATATGTGACTTTTTATAAAATTGAAGAAGCCAAGAATGAAATTATATTAATTCAGCAATTAGTTTTAGGTTTTTTTCTTAGTTGGATATTACCCAGAAATTTGATGAATATCTATTATTTAATACTACATAATTTTAAGATTTTAAATTACATGAAAAGTTCATCTGTGAACACTTATTTTAGTTACAATTACCTAATTTAAGTTTTAAAACAACTATACCTATATTACTTATGAAAATTGAGATATTAGACAGCCATTATTTCAGTCATTTTTTACTAACAAATTTCATATCCTGCTAATAGTAGGAGTTTATCTAAGTAAGACCCTTAATATTAAATGCGTGGGCATTCTGTTGATAACTCAGAAAATACAACTGTTTTGTATTAAATCAACAATATTAAATTAATCTTATTTATCAAATAATAATATAAAAAAAGATCATTTAGTTTTTGGCTAGGATTATATCTTCATGATTTTAAAACATTAATCAGAGGCAAATATAAAACTGTCTGACCATTAAACTCAGACAAAAATATACACTGACAATTTTGAAGACATTTTAAATTTTATCAACAATTTTAAAACCAATTAATATGTCAAAGATTTACTTAAGTCACATGTGCCAAAGGGAAAATGGGTTAATTACTGTATGTTTTATATGAACACTCATTTATTTAACCAAACTGAATAATTTTTTTAGTGATTTTTGGCTAATACACCAGATTTTATTATTAGAAACAATATACAACATAATACATATATACATAAAGATTTTACACCTGTTATTTTAGAATTTTAGTCATAAGATAATACAACATATAAATGATCCAGTTTATTTAAAAAACTGATTCAAATTATTTCTCTGGCAAAATGGAATAAGGCTAAACTTTATAGGTTTATTTTTAGTAGGCAATCTTGGAAAGACTGTGAACCAAATTTTGGGTAAAGGAGTTTGAATCAGTTACTAATATCCTGAATTGGTCAATGAATAATTAACTGTGAAAATGTCACTGAAATATGGGTGAAGGCCCAAAAAATATCAGAGTTATTCTAACAAGATTTATATGGTATTTTCTTGATCTCAATTATTTGTCCTTGAAGATAAGAAAGTTGCCATTCCTTTTAGTATAGTGAGGGTGTCTACTTGGAAATTTCATCTTTGTGTTTAAGAAAACAGCATGAAGGTCAAAATAATATTTTTTAATATTTGCTGGTTTTCAAGTGCTTTACTTAAATACTCAGTATACCAGAATAGCTGAGGAATCTTGGAAAAAGAGAGTTTAGCTTAGAGAAGAATAAAGAAGAGGAGTTGCAAGAAGGGAAGAGAAAAGGTCTGGAAAGAGTTTTAGCTCATTTTGAGGCAATATTTTGTAGCAACGCAGTCTTTGTGTCCTGAATGCTTTTTGTGTGTTTGTTTCTTTGTTTTGCCTGAAGATAGCAATGAGATATGAATGTCTTATTTTGAGTGTATGATTTTTTGAGCCACAGTCTTTTAATTTAGTGTTAAGAAAAATGGACTCTTTGAATGATCCGTATAATGTATGAACATGTTACTAGCTGGAGTCCCAGAAAATATCTTAGCATGCTTTTAAACTTTGAGGGCCAATTAAATGCAACTGCTAAATACATAAAGGTCAAATAATGTAAGCACACACAGAAAATAAAGTATGTGGTTACCAAAAAGTATGATAAGCCACTTTCTCCAACTGAAGGGGGAAAAAAATCTCATCACTTATGCCTCAACCCAAAGGGAAAAGTCCCTTCGCACAGTCCGGGTCTGCCAGGAGAAAGATCCTCATGAATGGGAAATCTCTCAACTGAAGCAGACAGGAAGGAAAAAGATCCATCCCCACCCAAGTCCCAAATACAAAAATACTCTATCAAATTTAGAGTTCACTGCAAGGGAGACTCATCAAGGGAAAAAGTGACCCACAAAATTGAGGGGCACAAATGGTTATAGTGTGCATACCTCACACCACAGTTCCAGGGGCCAGTGATTTTCTCTGAAGTGAGTCAGCTTTGGAACCCCACTTCTGGCACCCTGTATGTCCAAGTCAAATAAAATATAAAGAGAAATGTCTGAAATTAAAACGTCTAGTTGGGCACAGTGGTGCCTGCCTATATTCTCAACTAACAGGGAGGCTGAGGCGAGAGGATCACTTGAGTCCACAAGTTTGAGTCTAGCCTAGGCAAAGATCAAGACTATCTCTTAACCAAACAAAATAAAACAAAACATTTTATCTGGGAAGAAAGGATTGCAATTTAAGGCATACAAACGTATCAGTTGGTCTTTGGTATGTTCAGAGAACAAAAAGGTCAGAGGTTTCATAAAAAGGAGAAATATTATGTATTGCTCCTCAAGAAAGTTCATTGACACTGGTAAAGTTTTAGCAAGCTGGCAGGCTCTCATTGGTGAGTTGATAGAGGCAGGTAAAAGTAGTCTTAGAGTTGCAGCAGGTTGTTTCAGTAACCATTAGATAAATCTGGTTTGAGGTTACAACAGGCAGATTCAGCAGCCAGGCTTGCAGAGGATTATATTTTTTGAGCAATGTTATGTGCCCCAAGTGCTTTTTCATTCTGACCTCTTGACTCCATTTTAGTTGGGGATGACAAGAATTACCCATTTGTATTATCCGCTTTCACAGTAGTGACTGAAAGAGCTGTACCTCTGAAATCAAACACACCTAACTTTTTGCCTTGATTTGCCAAATACTAGTTTAGCAATGCGATATTCATCCAATTATTTACTCTCTCAGATATAATAAACATTAAGTTAAAAAAATACAGAAGGCACTTGGCACCAATCATGAGAAATATTAGTTATCAATGATAACTCTCTCTTGCTCTCTCACATCTTTTCCTTTCATCTTTACGGTATTCTGAATTACTCAAAACAAATTAGAATATAATCCAACTTTTTTTTTTTTTTGGGACGGAGTCTCACTCTGTCACCCAGGCTGGAGTGCAGTGATGTGATCTCGGTTCACTGCAACCTCTGCCTCTTGGGTTCAAGCCATTCTCCTACCTCAGCTTCCTGAGTAGCGGGGACCACAGGCGCCTGTCACCATGCCTGGCTAATTTTTTTGTATTTTTAGTAGAGATGGGGTTTCACCGTGTTAGCCAGGATGGTCTCTATCTCCTGATGTTGTGATCCACCCGCCTCGGCCTCCCAAACTGCTGGGATTACAGGTGTGAGCCACCGCGCCCAGCCTCCATCTTTCTTTGTAAGTCCAGACAAGTTTATGCAATTTAGGTTGAAGTAATTTCTGATGTGATTTGTTTCATAAATTACTAATAGGGGCAAATTGAATAAAGTACATGGAAGTAAACAAATATATAACTTTATTAATAATAATAGCATTTATTAAGCGCTTGCTATATGAAAGCAGTGTTTAGTATTTTGAATGTATTAACACTTTTTTTTGAGATGGAGTCTCGCTCTGTGGCCAGGCTGGAGTACGGTGGGGCAATTTCGGCTCACTGCAACCTCCGCCTCCCGGATTCAAGTGATTCTCCTGCCTCAGCCTCCTGAGTATCTGGGACTATAGGCACCCGCCATCATTCCTGGCTAATTTTTGTATTTTTAGTAGAGACGGGGTTTCACCATGTTGGCCAGGATGGTCTCGATTTCTTGACCTTGTGATCCGCCTGCCTCGGCTTCCCAAAGTGCTAGGATTACAGGCGTGAGCCACAGCAGGGCGTATTAACAACTTTAATTCTCAAAACAACCCAAGACCTAGCCAGGGTCAATAAAACAATGGACTCTATTTTGCATATGAGAAAATTTGAAAGGCTAACTAACTTGACTAAGATCATAGAAGTGACAGGTGATGGTACAGACAGTTTTTTAATCTGGGCCAGACCAGGGTATGATAAACTATTGCTTATGGGCAAAGTGTGGCCTGCCAAATGTTCTTGTATAGGCTATGGGCTAAGAATTGTTCTTACAGTTTTTCAATGGGTGATAAAAAGTCAAAACAATAATAATTTGTGCCCATGAAAATAAAATAAAATGTTATTTATTTAATTATATCTTTTGATGTATTATCATACAATCACACATTAAATTTTAATGTCATTAAAGAAATATATATTGGAACACAGCCGTACATTTATTTACATATTGTTTATAATTCGACATCAGAGTTGAGTTGTTACAACAGAAGCCTTAAGGTTAGCAAAGCCTAAATTATTCGCAATCCAGCCCTTTCTGGGAAAAGGGACCAACCTCTCCTCTAGGAAGTATCTCTTATTCCAAGATGACTCACTAAGTCCTAAAACAAACTATTTTTTTTGAAATGTATGTATCCAATCAATTCTCATAGAAGAAGGAGGAGGAGGAGAAGGATATGAAAGAAAAATAGGAGAAAAAAAATGTAATAAAAATGTAATAAACCATTTTCTATGACAATTTCACTTAGGCATTATTTTCCCCATGGTGCTAATCTTGGAAAGGAAGAGGACTCAGAATTCAAGTCAATTTCCATATTCAAAGTGTAAAACCTAGGAATTAACTAGTTTTATTACATTATACAGTCAAGAGAGAAAGGTCAGTAATATCGTGAAGAGGGTGAAATTTCACCTGGTTGCCCTCTTTTTTTTACTCCTAATAGTTACCACTTTTACATTTCTGAGGACACCAGTACCTACTTACTCACTTTCTTCCTTTCTTCTATGAAGGTTCTTCTACATATATATATATATATATATTTTTTTTTTTTATTATTAAGTGTCAGGACTTCAGCAACTTAAGTAGGAAGTTAAAATTTTGTTGTGTCGACTCCCCTACATTGCCAGTATCCACAGCCAGCTATGTGTAAGCTTGTATCTTGCTATATGTGCTTTTTCATAGAGGAGTAAATGCTCAGATTCCAAAGACTACCTACTGTCTGTCTTATTAGAATTAAACCATCTTTCACTGGGAAAGTGCTTATGCTTTTGTCTCAGAAAATTTTCCTTTTTGTTTCTGTTGTTTCTATTTTAAACTCAGGAATATATATACTCTCTCTCTGTCTCCGTGTGTGTGTGTGTATACATATATACATAAAATATATAAATATATATACTGTACATATAATATATAATATATAGTATTTATGTAAATATAAACATAAAATTCACGTTTGTTTTCTAAGTGGGAAGTAAGAAGTTTGCATGATTTTGTCAGATTTAACTTGAGGACAAGAAAGTCACATGTAGCAAAACGCGCAGCCAGTCACATTCTTTTCCCTTGTTTTGTGTGTTGTAAATGCAATCACGTAGTGAAATGTGATTTTCATTTGAGTGCCCTGAGGCAAAGCCTATAATAATATTCTCCTTCTGTTCACTCATATACAGTATGCCTTAACGGAATAGAAGCCATCTCTCGGGGAAATGCCAGATCTCTTTGTGTTTGTCCCTGTTTATCACCTCTGGAATGTTAAGCAGCCTTTGATCTGTTGACAGGGGCCAAAACAAAACAAAACAAAACAAAAAGCAAGCAAAAAACAAACAAATAAAAAATCAAATTATTTGCTTTCACATTAAGCTCATTGGTAGTTTGGAGTACTACAGATTCTTCACCATGGCTATTACTATAATTACTATTACGGACTCCCTTAGTGTCTTTGCCAGTTTCAGCTGAATGAAATGGCTTAGGGTTCTGTTTTGTGTTCTTAGCATGGTAATTCTTGTTTTATTTACATCTCTAATTTTTTTTTTTTGAGATGGAATCTCGTTCTGTCACCCAGGCTGGAGTGCAGTGGCGCAATCTCAGCTCACTGCAACCTCCACTTCCTGAGTTCAAGCGATTCTCCTGCCTCAGCCTCCCAAGCAGCTGGTACTACAGGTGCCCACCACCACACCATAGTCTAATTTTTGTATTTTTAGTAGAGGCGGGGTTTCACCATGTTGGCCAGGCTGGTCTTGAACTCCTGACCCCAAATGATCCACCCACCTTGGCCTCCTAAACTACTGGGATTACAGGTGTAAGCCACCATGCCCGGCCTACATCTCTAATTTGAGTTGGTCTTTTGCAAACTCTCTGTCTTTTATCTACTCTGTATGTATGTATCTATGGCTGTCTTTTATCTACTCTGTAGTTACGTCTGGTAACTCAGACTAGGTCATTATCATGTTCTCTCAAGGCTAACAAATGCACCTCTGCAAGTTCAGATACCACTTCAGAGCCAGGGTGTAAAAATAATCTTTTGATAGACGGTTACTTTTGGTTTTGCTTCTGATAACTGTGCTCCTCAAAATGAGAGACACAATATCTTAAGCTGTCTGGCAATTGAATAAAATGGTGTCTGCTCATAGTTCTTAGGACTCATAGGAGTACCATAGGAGCTCGGCTGGTATTCTTGCTTTGGTTGACTATTTTGCATTGGCTACAGGCTGACCTGGCTGGTGTCCATCCCCTCATTCATATCTGGGTCCTTCAAATTATTTTCAAAACATATTGCTTATTCCTAGATTAGAAATAGGAAAAATAATTCCATTGTGGAGGTCTGCTTTGATCGGTTGATAATTACTGCTTTGTTTATGGTCATATGAGTTTCTCAGTTTCTGAGACGGCAACTGGATTTAATAGAAATATCCCGTGATTAATTTCTGATGTCTGCCACCAGCAAGGTTTGTGAAATAGCAGAAATCTATAGAAGTATTTTTATCTCTTTTTCAATGATATTTTAAATTTGTAAGTCCTAGTTACGTTCACTCCTTTGTTGTCAGAGGGAAAGAAAGAAAAACAAATCCCTCACATCTGCTAAACTTAGAATTCTTAGGACAAATGATTATGTTTGTGTATTTATTTGATGTCTTCCTCTTCCAAAACTGTAATCCTTAGAACCTATTACAGACATGGGTCTGTATGGAGCAGAAACTTAATGAACAGTAAGTAAATAGGACACTCTTTTTTGAGACAATGGTGTGCAGCTTAAAAGGAAATATCAAAAACTTTCATTCTCATAATTCTAATTATGACTACTGGGGTCATTTATTCATCAATTTTCATATTTCAACATAGACTATATTATTCATGGTCTCATCAGAAAACAGTGTGTTTAAAAGTAGTGTTTGGAACACGACAACTAAATCCCATACATAATTTTGGATGAGAACCTGTACTAGAGTAAAAACAAAAATACCATAAAGACATTATTGGAAAATTTGAAAAATAAATTTTTTAATGTGGACTATAGATCAATGTAGCAATAAGTAACTTTCCTGATTTTAATAACTATATCATGATTATGTGAAATAATCTATTTGATATAAAAAACACACTCAAGTATTTTGAGGAAACCGTTTATAAAATGTAATTTCATAATTATGTATTATTCATAGATAAGTATGAAGAGAGAAATAAAATAATGAAAACATACGTCAAATGTTAAAATTGCTGAATTAAGATAAAGGAATAGGATATCTCTGTATCAATTTTTAAATGTTTTATGATTTTGAAAATCTTCCTAAATACAAGAGTTTTAAAAGGAGGTGAGTACAAGAATAGAGTTTGAGGAAGAGATGGGCATGGTTAAATGAAACCAACAAAGGATAGTGAATCTCCCCATGGCTAAGACCAGTGAAAAACCCACACAACCTCTAGGTCTCAAGATCCAATTGGAAGGAATGTTACCAGAAGAAGCCAGAGGGGTCTGCAGCTGTGGCACATGGAAAGGCTGCCCAGCACAAGCTATGGCCCTATGCAAAGGAATACAACCCAACTGAAAAGCAGCTATAGAAACAAATACTCTCATGATACTCTTCCTGTTCTCCTACCCCTACTGATGTCATCCTCTGGATGAACTCAACTGACATCTAGAGGGCCAAGGAGCTCAGCTGGTATTTATTTATTTATTTTTTGAGATGGAGTCTTGCCCTGTCGCCCAGGGTAGAATGCAGTGGCGCGGTCTCGGCTCACTGCAAGCTCCACCTCCCGGGTTCTTGCCATTCTCCTGCCTCAGCCTCCTGAGTAGCTGGGACTACAGGTGGTATGTTTTGTAGAGGTTGGCCTGTAGGAACATGGGACAAGTTGGAGTGAGTGGAGAGTAGAACTGCAGGGATGAAAGTACCCTTGGCACATGGAGTGGAGCCTTGACCTCTCCCATTCCTTATTTCTTCAGGAGGCCAAAGCAATTAAGCCTGCGTGAATCTGCCTTTCTGGATGCCTCCTTGGATCTGCCAACCTACTTAGGGGGGTTGTGTCCTCATCTATCTCTTGGGCCTGCAATAATCCATATGGTAATCTGAGCAGGGCAGGTTTGCCCCAGGGAGTAGAGGCCTGCACTTACCAGGACTGCTTGTATCAGGGTAGGTAAATGTGGTTAATCCTTGAGCCAAGAATAAGCAACTTGCCTGCCGATCCAAGTTGCATTCTATATTTGATCTTTGTGTGATTTCACCCTTTAATTTATTTTTTTTCTCTCTCTTAACTGCTTCAGAATCCAGGTGTGGAGAACTTTCTTATCATCAACTAAAATGATGTTACCAAATTTCCTATAGCAGTGTCTATGACTGGGGTGACTTTGCTCCCAAGAAGACATTTGGCTATGTCTGGAGACATTTTTGTTGTCACCCCACTGGAAGGAAGAGGCTACTGGCATTTAGTGGGTAGAAGCTATAGAGGCTATGAAACATCCCACAAGGCACAAAACAGCTCCTCACACAAAGAATTTTCCAGCCTCAAACGTCGATAATGCAGAGGTTGAGAAATACTGCCCTATAGGGTTTAGGGAAGCAAGGCTTGTTTTAAATGGCATTGTTAGAGCTCAGTATCTCAAGCATTTTTGCTAAGAGAAATAAAGGTGGAAATGAATAAAATCCAAACCTAGAAAAAGCCCCTGCCCATGGAGCTTACATTCTAGTGGAAAGAGCTAGAATTGGGAAAATTAATAAATATATGATAAAGTAAACAAAGATATTTAAAAATTATGGGGCATGCCAGGTGCGGAGGATGGCAGGGGGGCATGGAGTTTTGATATTTTCTATAGCATGCTTAGGAAAAGCCTCACTGAGAAAGTGATGTGTTACTTCTTAAATTTTACTAGAATTCTCAAATTTACTAGAATTTACTTTTCTATTTTTACTACATGTGGTTATTTTTAAGTTAGAAATTCCACATTCTACGGTCCTTCCACTGAGAAAAGTGTGGATGCACAAAGGGAGAATAATTACTCTGGCCCAGCCTAGTTTTCAGTTCTCAAATATTTGGTGATCCTTCATTGATCATAAGTTCATGTATGTTTTTTTTGTTTGTTTATTTATTTTGATGTCATAGAACACTGTGGATTTAACCATTTTCAGATCTTAAACATTAAAAACACTAAAAGCGTATCCTCATATCTTTTGAAGTTATTTCCTTTAAATTTCTAGAAATTACTCTGATCTTTAATATCAGGTTAATTTAATGCCCTGGCCGTGTGATTGTAATTATAGTTGTAAATGTCAACGTTTTCTAAAAGTGAGATTAAATGTAAGAGTTGAATTATTACCAAGAATGGTATATGTTTAGACTATTTATGATAAAAGCCATTCTTTAGAAATTTCAATGCATATATATAGTTTCCAGAAGAACTGAAGATATTTTACATGATCATTCAATGCATTTTTACTGTTGGCACTGCAGCACGGCAGTTTTCATTATGCAGAGTGAAAACACAAAAACGGCTAAAACAATCTCTTAGAAAGCTTTGCAGAAACTGAATTTATAAATCAAATTTGCTTGATTCAAAGACAAATGTTTCTTTTGTAAATATAGGATTTATACATTGACTGTTAAGTCTTCTTTTAAAAAACCATCAATAAATGCTTATTTTGATAAATAAGGTGGGGCCTGTAGCCAGTTTAAATTTTATTATTATAAATGGAAAGGGGAATGGAGTCATATGTCAACTTCTAAATACAATTTAGTAACTCAAACTGTTTCACTTTCTGTATTGTGTTTATTCTGTATTTCACTGCTTGAAGTTCTTGTTTGTAGGCTCCTTTGAGGAACATTGTGTTCAATTTTTTCCTATTTTAGTGGATGCTGTGCTGCTCAGATTCCCCCCTGAGGACAGCTATAGTCTGAATGTCCCCATCCTCAAAACTTACACTGAAATTGAATCCCCAATGTGGCCATATATTCAGACATGGAAGCTTTAAAAGAGAACTGGGTCATAGAAGGCTCTGCCCTCATGAATGGAATAACCTATTTGCAGATTAATGAATTAATGGGTAAATGGATGAATGGGCTATCATGAGAGAGGAACTGGTGGTTTTAAAAGGAGAAAAGATTCCTCAGCTAGCATGTTAGCATGCTCAGGTCCCTGGCCATGTGATGCTGAACGCCACCTCAGAAGGCCATAGAGTCCTCATTGGCAAGAAGGCTCTCACGAGATGTGCCCTCTTGACCTTGAACTTCCTAGCCTCCATAACTATAAGAAATGAATTACTTTCCTTTATAAATTACCTAGTTTCAGGTAATCAGTTATAAGCAACAGAAAACAGACTAAGACAAGAACTGAAAGACCTACTCCCCCATCTGCTGTACTGAAGCCAGAAAACAGACCTTGGCTAATGAAATCAACCTTGAATCCTACCTTATGCCATAGAAAAATGTTAATTTGGAATCATGATTATTTTCATTCAAAGTAATAACATTTGCAGACACATATTAGCTGCCAGGCTCATCAACATGGTAGATTGCCACAGGACTGACTCTCAGAAATGAGAAAAGTATACTCTAATTTTCTGGTATATTTTTATTAGTGTTTACTGTCTAAAATTATGGCTTAAAATATATTTAGCCTGATGCACCAAGCTCACAATTGTTAGGTATACAGATTAATAAATTTTTACACATGTATATGCTCATATAACCACCTCCAACATCCAAATGTAAATCATATATATGACCCCAAAAGTTTACTTCACCACTCCATGCTAACTATTCTTCTTATCACCATCAGTTTTGCCTACTCTCACATTTTGTAGAAGTGGGATTATATGATAAGTATTCTTTGGCATAAAGCTTTTGCCCTTTTGCCTGATATGATGACTGTAAAATTCATCCGTGTGGATGCAAATATAAATTTTTTTTTCTTTTTGTTACTTTATAGTATCCTGTTATAAGAATAAACCACAACATATGTATTCATGTTCCATTGATGGATATTTGGGTTGCTTTTACTTTTGGGTTATTATGAATATAACTGTCATGAACATACTTATGCTTGCTTTTTGGTAATATATACACTTATTCCTCTTAGACATATACCTAAAGATAGAAATGCTAGATCTTAGGGTGTATTTAACTTTTGTAAATATTGCCAAACAGTTTTTGAAAATGTGGGTCCGTTAACACCCTCACCAACCAAGAGTTCCCATTGCCCCACATATTTGCTAATGTCAGTCTCATTAATTGTAGCCAACTTTATGGGTAGGTAGTGGTACTTCACTTTAGTTTTAATTTACATTTCTCAGGTGAATAATGATACCTACCTTTAACATAGCAGTGTTTCCTTTCCATCACTGTTGATTGTTCCACTTTTCCTTCTTTCAAGAAAGATCCAACTGAAATAAATAATGTAGAGTTGTGATGAAATGTGGGTGCTCTCACAAATATAAATGCATGTAGAAGGAGGATGATTATCAAAATTGTCTCTGAAGGAATGCTTTCTTTTCATTCAGAGGATGGAATTAGAGACAGCAGCAGAGTCAAAGATACTCAATATGAATTTAAGGAGCTGAGATGTGAAGCCAAGATTATAAGATGAATATCTGATGATAATGCCTTTTTAACTTGCTTTTTTATAATGATAGCAACCTGGAATAGATAGAGCTCACAGATAATTCCAAAGCTGTTAGCTTCAGCCATCTAGGGATTATTTTCTTCATAACCATGACTCTAGATAAACATAGATTGCATTACCAGTTCTTAAAAGTTCCAATGAGTGCCTTATCAATCAATAGCCATTATATTTCTGAAGTAGGCATGATAAATTAGAATATATGTTTTAACAATATGATAGCATCACCGGGTCATGTTGATTTAAATATGTCAAATCATCATAGATCATCTTGTCAAATCTTATAAGCATAGTAAGACATCAGATTTGGAGATTTATAAAAATGACTTCAGGTTTTTCATCTTTCATAGACAGAAACTAACATGTTATCTAATGAAGCAAAAACTACAGGCATTTACACGTATGTGACTAGTGTTAGATTAAAAGATTCATGCAACCTGTATGTTATTCGTATACATATCGAATACTCATCTCCACTGACAAGCCCTGGCTCAGACCCACAACACTTAAAGACATATCTTTGTGTTGCTTGTCCTTCAGCATGCTGACTCAGCGTAATGGAGAATATTGCTTTGGGAATGCATTATTTCTGGACATATAGTCAGCATGGGCCAGAATGCTGATTCTGCAAACTAGTGATGAGCAGCATGGGGAAATGTGAGGATTTATAGCTGCTTTTAAGATGAGGGCCAAATCTTTGGGATGAGGGAAGGTCAATAGTTTGCTTGCTATTGGTCCATTTGTGCAGTGTATTGGGCATGCAGGGTATAATAGTTTAGATAAATGTGGTTACAGGCTCTAAAAGAAGCTATCTGAAAAGCAGATTTCTTATTTTTACCTATGAAATATATTTTATAGCTTAGCTTTTTTTGTTTTCAATTTTTATATAAATCAGAAGTCATATTATACTTCTTGAAAATATGTATATTTCATATTTGACAACCATTTACAGTACTAAGTAACCAAAACATAAATTTTACGCTTCGGATAAAAGCATAGGATGTTAATTTTACCAAAGCCAGGTTTCCCCAGCATAGTTGTAGCTACAATTGTGAGCCATTATACGTAGAAAATATCTTAGAGAATATGATGTGATGTGAGTACAGTCTGTAGTAATTAAGATAAGAGAAAGGCCAGTGTGTGCAGGAGAGATTGGGAAAGCCATAAAAAATTTGGGTGGAGCTTTAGACTGTGCTTTCCGCACAATATGCAATTATTAAGAATTGTTGAACTTAAATTTTTTACAAGTGGCATTACCAAAATTTATCGCAAATAATTAAGCATGATTTAAAGCAAGTTAAATTAAATGCATATGAATACTACAAAGAAATGTAAATAAAAAATAGATGATATAGCATAAGTCATTGTAACTTAGATGCCAATAGGTCTAAAATGTATTTAGGAGTTAAATTCAAAGACAAACTTTCCTTGGGCAAAACTGAGAGACGTAAAGAATTGCTAAAAGATCAGAGACAAGCAAAATGCACTGGATGGTGCTGCTTGGAGACTAGAAAGCCTTCTAGAGACCTTAGCTATGATGAGTCAGTAATAGGAAATGGTGGTAAGCTGCTAAGATGTGTGTTCAAGAATTATCTCATGCAACATTGTAATTAACCATAATATGAAGAGCCCAGGGACCTTTTTAATTTTTTTGAGTGGAGAAGCTAAAGAGTAGAATGTTAGAAAGCTTATTTAAAGCTAAGATATTAAAAAATGCTGGAGAAAAATTGAGAACTTTAAATGCTAAGCAGAAGGATTATTTAGAACCCAGTTTAGAGATGACCTTCAACATTTTTTAAGAAAGGAAGAAATAATAGGAAAATTGAGACAATGTGATCAATTGGTTTATGTTTTAGGGAGAGACTTTTGCTATAGTGATCATTTTTACCCAAAGCATATGATCAATACCTATATTTTTATCCTCTCTCTTATCACGTAATTAATGAAAGGAGAAACATTTCCAGTGTATCTGGTAGAGAGGCAGATAAAAATGTCACCATTTCTTTCTACTACTCAACTATTTAGAAAATCACCTATAACAAAGTTGTGTTATGTTTTGTTGTAATTGTAAATCAGTCACACTGAAACTTTAATCAGGTGGATGCACTTGCAACTGTCTTTTTAAAGACAAGCTCACATTCTGACTGTCTAGATCATCTTAGGCTCATCTTTCTAGATCTTCCACTGTGCTTTCCATAATCCCACATTGTTTCAATGTGTCTGAATTCTTTTCGCTCTTACATTAATTTTTATCTTAACTTTTCAACTCTCCAGGATTTCTCTCCCTTCTAAATCTTGCATCATGCTACTCAATACAAAGGGCCTCAGGGCTTGGAGTCAATTAAACATGCTTCGGAATCCTGTCATTCATAAGTTCTTTTTGTGTACTGTTGGACAAAAGCACCTGACCGTTCTGAACTTGATTTAGTAGGCATATAAAATGTGAATGGTTAATAATATCGCCCTGCAATTGTGATTAAGCAAACATGTCAGTTCAATTTTATTTAGAAAAAGCACATTGTTTAGTGAATTATTATTTTTAATAATATGTAGATCTCAAATTTGCTAAGAGCTTTTATTCTTTTCTCTGTATGATACATATGATTCTTCCACGAATATTTCCATTTCAGTCACCAATTATAGCACTAAGTTTTCCCAAGTTAGTGCTGAGCAGGACCAGCAAAACCAAATCTATCTATCTAGTATCTATCTATCCAACTTAGGGAAGGGCAAACTTTCTACCCTCTCAGTGTTCAATAATTGTGTCTAGGAAATAAACTGACACTAGGCAGATTAACAGGTGTTAAGGTGTGCAAAGTTATTACCTGCATGGGGACATCACATGAAAGAAAAGTGAATACTCCAAACCCTAGTGAGATCTTCACAGGGAAGTGAGAGCAGAGATGGAGGCAACATAGGAGAGAGTAAATGATTTTGGGGCAAGATGAACAGGCCCTCATAAGAACAGATGGTGGCCTGTCACAAAGTTTGTATGGGTGTGATCCTAACCTCTAGTTTCCCCTATGATCTGGGTTAATCCCTCCTATTTCATTAAATTCCTGGGGAAGGGATTCATGACAACTGAGTTCCTTTTGTAGGCAGATAAGGCAAGTTCAGAGAAAGCCTCTGCCTGTATCCTTTGTTTCCCAAGTTCCTTCGGTTCCAAGTAATCAAACTAGAGCATTGTATTGTGGGGTGGCATTTATTGAACTTTATATCAACCTACCTACCTACCTATCAGATCATCTTTATTCTTAATTATCTAATTATCTCTAATTACTGTACTTCTAAAGAATATAAAATAAGTTATTCATTGTTGAAGTCCACACAGAAAGTGTAAGTCAGGGAGAAATAGTTGTGTTTCTAAAGTTAGGAATGAATTTTTTTCTTTAAGGATGCCATTTATCACCAAGCCAAAAGCTATCTTCTTCAAGGTACGAGATGGAATCTTGTTGATTCACCAGTCAGCTGAAAACGATGTATAACATTCATTATTTTTGAGATGTGAATATCAAATTATTTGCCTTTATAGTGGAAGTTACAATTTTATGGTTGTCAAGTGAGAATTGATTTCAATTGGACATAAACAATCACTGTTATCTGTTTACCAAAGAAGAAAACAAAGTGGTAGGACATCTTCAATTTCAACATGTTTAATTAACTTGTATTTATAAAAAAGGTTTCTTAAATAATAATTCTATGATAATTTTTATATCTTAGAAACAGCCTGTGTGTGTGCGTGGTGTGTGTGTGTGTGTGTGTGTGTGTGTGTGTGATGTATCTTCTTAAGGCTTTGTTATTTTCTACTGGTATAGTTGACAATAAAACTCTTTATTCTAGTTAAAAGGGTAGAATATATTTTCATAAATATTCAATTCATTTCAAAATAACAATCCTCTGTGCTCTAGGCTACAATAACCAACCTCAACCAGAGAACAAAATAATTTTGATTTATAGAGGCTTTTTCATCCACAGTTCTGGTTCAAAATTACTCTTCTAAAATATTTACACTCTTTCAGTACAGTATTTGAGTATCTAGTACAGCTTTATTTTGGTATTTTGCAATTTGAACAAGTGTTAGCATCTCTGAAGGTAAATGGTGGTAAGTGAAATACTAGTATATAGGCAAAATGCCTTAGGAAAGGCTTAAGTTCCAGAAAGTCTGGAGGTAAGGAAATCTCTGTTCTCTTTTTCCCTCTCTCTTTACTCCTGCCACTTAAACATGGAGCCAAATTTGACTAAGCTCAGGAACCACACAGCAAAGTAGCAAGAACAATGTTCTGGCTAACTAGCCAGAGGACCAGGAAAAGAGGCCCCTGGGATCTGGAAAATGTTTGGAAGATCAAAGAAAGGAGGGAAGTCAATAAAGGGACTCATCTCAGGGCTTAGGAAGAAGTATCCAGAAGCAGAAATAAGGTCTACCAAAACAGAAAACATAGACAACAACAACTAAACCTTTCTATATAACTCACCAGAGAATTGGGAAAACTGAATTAGTGTCTTTTGTAAAGTATTAGGTTGAAAGATGACTTTTAAAATGCAAATACTCTGAAGAAGAAATGAAATTAACTTTTGTGTATTGTTCTATGAGACATAAAATTACACGTTTTTATATAAGAAAAGGAGAGAAAAGGCATAAGGTTTTAAAGAACAGAACCTGAATTCTAATCCCAGTATCATTAACTAACTGAATGACCTTCATCAAGTCAGCTGTCACCGAGATTTGTTTTCTTTATGACAAAAACAGAATTCATAATAATTACATGTTAATTATTGAATCATTAATAAGAAAGAAAAACACAACAATCACCTTTCCATATTAATATTCAAACAGCTGTACGACCCCAGGAATGGTTACACTTATCATTAATGATTCTTGATTTTCCATTATAATAGAATGGCATTTTCATAGGTATTAACCCATTTTATTTAAATGTAGCTCCAGGAAGATAGGCAAAAATAATGTCACATTTGCATATTATCTTTAAATTTATGTAGTGCCAATTCACGATTTCATTACCGTCCTATTACTGCCCAGTGAAATAGGCAGGGGAAATATTATACTCATATTTTACAACTGAGTATACTGAAGGTCAAATAGTTTAATTAAATGAGGTGTTCAAGGCTACACTTTATAACATAAAGCCAAAACTAAAGACAAACTATTATGACTCAGTGTCCAGTGTTTCTTCTTTACATCATGCTGCTGTATATTGAAAGGTAAAATTATCTGGTGGAGGTTTTGTTAACAGTAGGTAACTAGTCAGGCATGAAGGGGACAGAAGAGGGCTCCCCCCATCCACCAGGAATGTCAGGCAACCACCAGGTGATGGTGTGGCGGTTGTTGCACTGCCTCTCTAAAATGATAACTGGTCACAGCCAGCACCAGGGAGAAGCAGTTTCCCAATAGATACAGAAATTGGTAATCAGAAGCTTCCAATAAAATCTCAGGAATAGGCCAGGCACGGTGGCTCACACCTGTAATCCCAGCACTTTGGGAGGCCAAGGCAGGCGGGTCACAAGGTTAGGAGTTCCGACTAGCCTGGCCAACATGGTGAAACCCTGTCTCTACTAAAAGTATAAAAATTCGCTGGGTGTGGTGGCAGGTACCTGTAATCCCAGCTACTCTGGAGGCTGAGGCAGGAGAATCATTTGAACGTGGGAGGCGGAGGTTGCAACGAGCCGAGATCATGCCATTGCACTCCAGCCTGGGCAAAAAGGTGAGACTCCATTTAAAAAATAATAATAATAATCATAATAAAATCTCAAGAATTGGGAGAGTGGGCTCGTGCATGCACATTAGAGACAAAATGGTGGAGTATGACCTTCTGGGGGCATTCCACTGGAAAAGGGAAAAAAGCTCCAGGTGGGTATGCATGCAACTTCTTAAACACACTGCACATGCTCACCTCCCAAGCACAAGCAAGGCACCCCACATCCGGGCAGCTCAATCTAAAGGAAGAATGAAGGGAAAGTGGGGCAAGACTCTGAAAGTAGGCTACTATATAAAGTCCTAGGTTCAAGGTTAAATGGGGCACTTGACCGCCAAGTCAAGAGACCTCCATTTGCATCTCTTCCAAGTGTACTTCCTTTTCTTTAATGCTATAAAGCAATTTAATAAACTTCTACTCCTGCTCTGAAAGTTCCCTTGGTCTCCTTTTCTGCCTTATGCCCCTCAGTCGAATTCTTTCTTCTGAGGAGGCAAGAATTGAGGTTGCTGCAGACCCATACAAATTTGCTGCCAGTAACTTGGATATTTTCAGCCCCTAACAGTTTCACCACATCTTAGTCACAAACAAGATTCATGTACCTGTCTCATAGCCAAGCACCCTTTTTAATTTTTAATATAAAATTATTTCCCTACCATCATTTATTGTATGACCTTGGGAAAATTATAGTATCCTTTATAGCCTTACGTTTTAGTTCTATAAAATGGAAACACTAATATCAGTCTTTTAGAGTTCTATAAAAATTGGCATTAGTTTGAGGAAGACATCTACTATAATAGGAAATACAGGCTATAGATAGATAGATAAGATTAATTATGGGAATTGGCTCATATGATTATGACAGCCAGGAAGTCCCTCCCATAATCTGCCTTTCCAAGCTGGAGAAACAGAAAATCCTGCTGTTTAACTCAGTCTGAAGCTGAAGGCCTGGGAACCTGAAGTTGTGAGGTTTCAGAGCCACAGAAGATGGTTGTTCCAGCTCAAAAAGAGAGAAAGAGAATTTTCCTTTCCTCTGCCTTTTCCTTCTTTCTGGGTTTTCAACAAATTGGATTATGCTGCCCACTTTGATGTGAGGATGGATTATCTACTCAATCTAAAGAGTCAAATGCTGATCTCTTCCAGAAATCCCCTTACAGACACACCTCAAAGTACTGTTTTACCAACTACCTGGACAATTTCCTAGTCTAGTCAAGTTGACACATTAAATTAGCTCCCATAGTGCCTATTTTTTCATCACTTTCATGGATGTTGAGACAGTCCAAATGTCCCTGGTAATCCACTTCCTGTGCTCTGCCACCACCACTCCTGATTCCTGACCTGGATGTCTGTGGTCGTTTGTACATACATATTGGTAAACTGAGACCCAGAAAATCATGTTGTAAAATTAATTCTTGCTCTGGTAGGAGGTTCCCAAGGATCTCCTGTGAAAAATTGTTTGTTTTGGAATAACAGAGACTTATCACTGGGCTCACTTCCAATCAGGTCACTTCCATGATCCAATATGCTTTGCTATTTGCCTTGGATATTTATTATCTGCAGAATTGCTAATCTAAGTGTGCCTGATATTTAATGTTGGCTTGTGAGAAAAAAAAAAAAAAAGATGTGAGGTCAGACACAGGATTAAATTCTGGCACTACCACTTAATAGCTCTGTAATCGTGGGCATATTACTTATTTGTTTCTCAGATTCTTAACTGTTAATGTAAATTATATAATAATTACTCTTTTAAAAATACATTTTTTTTTTTTGAGATGGAGTCTCGCTCTGTCGCCCAAGATGGAGTGCAGTGGCGCGATCTCCGCTCACTGCAAGCTCCGCCTCCTGGGTTCATGCCATTCTCCTGCCTCAGCCTCCGGAGTAGCTGGGACTAAAAATACATTTTAATTCAATTCAATGGGATGTTGTCCGCCAAACTTCTGCTCGATATTGGGCACTTTAAAAATGTTTTGTTTCCCTTTTCTCCTCCTTTTGATCACTGGGTTTGTTTTTTGTTTTGTTTTTCTGGTTTTCTGCACCCTCCTATGTGTTCCTAAATCTGATAACTGTGCTGTTATGTCACAAAGCCTGTGAGATACTTCTAATATTGTTGTAAAGAACAATGGTTTACATTTATTTGGGGATTATGAAATATATAGTAGTATAGATGGTAGTAATTTCATTAAATGTTTTAGGTTTTTGAATATTCATTACAACCACTTAAGATATGTACTAGCATTATTTTATGATAATAATTGAGAAAACTAAGGCTTAGAAAGTTAAACAAGCTGGTAAAGTTCACACAGCAAACAAGTGGCAGAGTCTGGGTGCAAACTAAGATTTCTGAAATAAAAATCTGTGCTTTTAAGCTATCAGGCTAAATCACTACCTCCAGCAAATAAGAGAATTACAATCCTCTGTGTCTCATCAAATTCTGTAACCTGCTCAGAGACCCTTAGGGCACCTTAAGGCCACATTCTCTGCATAGTAGTTCGCTTTAAGGTCATTGCTAGGTAATACAATGGCTAGAGATGCAGCATACTGAGCTCCCTAAATTTGAAAAACAAAACACAGGGTGAGTTTGACATCTCTAATTACCATATGAAAATGACTACTGAAGAAAGATGTCTAATAATTCACACCTTGGGCTTATTACAGCAAGCATTCTGAGATGACATTTCTTAGCCATTTAGGAACACCCATAGTATAACATTAGCTAGAAACACAGGGACAATCAATCTCACAACAAATGTATCCTGATGGTTTTGTTAGAGACTCCTAAATTGCTGGATTTACACATTTGTCATAAGCACTGGAGATGTTTCCTCTGTTGATATGCAAACATCAGATTGTTCTCTAACATCCAAAACAATGATAGTTTCTTTTTTTATCATTGTGCAATTTGATTCCAGATTAAGCAAACAATGCAGCATCACCCCAACTCCCTATAATTTGGGGAAGCAAAACAGTTGTGTTTTAGCATAAGGATAGCAAGACCAAGAAGGAACTTCACATACTGAAAGTAGGTGAGGGGTGTGAAGGTGAGTAGTGGGGATAGAAATTATATGCCTGATTTTCCTTTCAAATCTGGGCAAATGTGATCTCAGTATACTATGTATTAAGATTATTTTGAAACACTACAGTCAATTACTGAGACTAAACTATATATTAGTCACTGAGGTATTAATTAAAACTTTCATTGAAGAAAGCTACATAATGGGTGTATTGCTTTAAATTTTACAAACCACTGCTCTATTTATCTGTATATTTTTTGTAACTGGTGCATAATACATTTTCAGTACATGCTTCTTGAATAAATATAAGGCACTTTTCAAATATTATTATATTTATTTATATAGTAACCCTGTGAAGTAGTTATTATTACAATTTTTCTCGTTTTTCAGATGAATTAAGTAGTCTGAGATAGAGTTGCTCAAGTTCATTCAGGTAGAAAGTGGCAGGCGAGAACTTGAACACAGTATGTTCTCCAACTTCAAAAGCCCTATTCTTTCAATTACCCATTACATTACATTATAGCATCTCTCTGGAGAGAATATGACCTGACCTGTAAAATATTAGAATGCATAACTCAAATCCATGTAAAATCGGCCTTACTTTTACATTTTGGAATTTCAGTGTATGATACAATTTCCTGGTGCCTTTAATTATCTTGCTTCATACTATTAACAATACTTAATATGACTTCAGTCCTTTGACTTTATTTTTCCTATTGGTTTTCCAACAAAAGCCTTAAGGACAAAAGAGAACAGGCATGCTGAAGACAGGATAAAATACCTTTTGCAATTATGGCCTGGATGGGAAGACTTATCTCTAGAAACTCACTTGGGGGAAATAGTGAAGGATTTACATGTAATCATCTTTTGTGTTGCTCAAACTAAATAAATGTGAAAATTGGTACATTTTAAGGAATTCATGCAAAAATATTTAAAATGATATTAGTTTGTCTTCACATTACAATCCAGGTTCAGCAAATTCACTCTATTTTATAAAAATCATATTTTCTGATTCAGGAAATTACTATAAGATCTGAAAACCATATAGCAAGTTTTTAATAAATATAAGATATCTGTTCAAAGATGAGTATATCACTAAAGTAATTAAATTGTGTGACTTAAGGAAATCACTGACATAGTAAAGCAGAGTCTCTATATATACTAATGCAAGATGCTTGAGGAAATTGAGTGGAAAAAATACTTTCTGTGAACATATCTGCAATTAGGATGGTGAGATATTTGGCAACAGTGAAAAGTAAGTTGTGAAAATAATAATTGAGTCTTTACTTTGCTCTTGAATTTCTACTCATTCAAAATTTCTCCCATCCATGTTTTCTGTTCCATCCCTTCTTAATTAACAAGGAAGAGCCAAATACACGATCAACTCTGTCTTTGTGTTTAGGTTTATGTTACCCAAGGTATCTTGTCATAGACACTTCACAACTAAATCTAATACATTTGCCACTCTTTCAACTCCTCATATGCTGGAATTCATCCCATAGAACCCTTTGGGCATGACTGCAGAGACTTTGCTTGACTATATTCCTCACGGAGAACGGAGAATATCATTAGGATAAGAAGTGGTTCATATTAAGTTTTGCTTTCATTGAATATTCAGCCTCTCTGAAATTTCTGCCATTTGTTTCTATTTTATTCTTCTAGGAGGACAGAAGCATTTTGTTTTCCCTTTATTGGATGATGAGAAAAGAAACACACACACACACACACACACACACACACACACACACACACACCCAACAACCAATCCCCATAAAAGCACTTGGAATAGCACTTGCCACTTAGGAAACACCTAATAAAGGTAAAATTATTATTAGCTTCCTGATCTTGTGCAAAGGACAAAGTTTTCCTAAGCCCTAGATTCTTCCATTATAAAATAAAGATCCATTCAATTATTCATTCTAGAAACATTTAGGAGTCTACTATGAATTAGCAACTGACAGCTATTTCGTATTGAGTTTAGAAGGACTAAGTGAGGTAATGAATATTAGATGCTCAACACAAAGTCTCCTGGTTTCTAAGCACCAAATAACTGTAAGTTGGTGACTGGGAGTCATAGTTATGTTTATGGAAAAAAACAGATGATTGTTGGGATATAAATTAAAAAACGAACTACCAAAAACCAAACTCAAACAGATTCAGGCAATAAATCCAAGAAAAAACAGAGGACCAATGTGGAGCTGCAGAAGAGCATGCAGCAAGTGACTTAGCCCCAGGTGGAGAATAAAATATTATACTCCAACTATCCAGTTTTGTGTAGCAATTTGGGACTGAAACCCAGAATAGAATCAAGAGGGAACTGGAGGGGACAGAAACTAAAGATTCCTAAGGAGTAAGAGCATCATTGGTGACAATGTGGTTAAAAACATCAAACTACAAAAGCAAAAAAATTCAATAACTTGAAAAATCTAATCAAAATGATGTGAGTGGCAGTGGGGATTGGGTTTCTGACATTCAAGACAGGAAAGAGATGATGGAAAATTCCAAATAGAGACTGCCAGAGAGTCAGGACCCACGGGATTGAGGAACAAGAGTGAGGTCATATTATTGCAGGTCTTTCCTTAGTTCAGCTAAAGATGGGGTTCTTGTCCATCCCACGGCCACAAAATTTAGGCTTGCAGATGGTTTAAGGGGTGAGTAAAGCAGGATTTTATAGGGTAAAAAGGGGGAAACAGGGATCCCCCACAAGGCCAGAGTCCCCTGGTGGAATGCTTCCCACCCTCCATTGGAATCCCAGGTTCCACACAGGAAAAGGAGGGGCCAGACTCTTCCCTGCTGCAAATGGTGTGAACTTCTCGAGGCTCCACCCCAGGGGGTAGGCTGGCTGAAGTTTCTCCAGGGATCCCCTTGGCTGTCTCATTTCCCCCTCTAAAGAAGTACATCTAACTGTAGTTAGATTAAGAATAAGGGCAAAGACCAATCTTAACTACTTCCTACTGACGGGGGCACTATTTTGGATAAATGGCAGTCAGAGCTCCCTGGAGGGCCTATTTAAGGGTTCCCAGCAGAAGGGGCCAGTGTCAGAGACTCCGGTTGCCTGACTGTTTGGAGTCTGATGGCCTGAAGGCAAGAACAGACAAATGGGGTTATTAGAAAACACGTATCAAAATGAAACAAGGGGAGGGGTAAGGAGAACTCAAAAATTCCAAGGCCTTTTACCAGTTGGCCCAGGGAAAGGGAGGCCAAAAGCCCAACTGGTTGAAAAACTTTACCCTTTTGCTGGCATGTCAGGCTTCTGGGTTCCCTTCCCCTGAGCCCAATTCTAAACCAACCAGTTTAAGGTTTGGGAAATTAACTGGTTCCTGTTTGGAGGATACATCCAAGGGGAGTGCCTTGTAGTACAGAGACACAATTACCTATCAGTGAAGAGAGGAGAGGAGAAGAAAGGAAAAAAAAGGCATTTTGTTCAAAAGAGTCCCAGGGGTTTAGGAGGAATTCTAAAGGGGTACAGACTGAAGATGAATGGCTACGCACTAGAAAAAGAGGAACAGGCTTCCCTGATTCCCTTCTCTTCCTAGCAGATACCTGGGGTATGTGAGGGAGAGAGGGAAGAACGTCCTCTTTCCTTCTTCCATCCTTGCATCCCTGAGTCCTGGGACCTTGGCAGGTCCCACCACGAGTGCCAAAGCAGTGTGCACCCATGAAGCAGGGAGAGCCTAGAGAATAGGAATTATCTGCTGTTGCCTATGCCTCTATCCCCACTACTGTCAGTAGCTTTGGAGTACCCTAGACCTCATTTTTCCCACGTATATTAACGTGGCCTTTATCCATGAAACAGGAAGCTTGGGGTTGGCTTAATCGGCAGGAATCAACTACACTCACCTGTGCTGTGCCTTTTAACCTCTATTGTCATTGCCTTGGGATCCCTCAATCTACTTTTCTTTCCTAGGGCTTTGACCCAAAGCTTCGAATTGACTTTGGGAAAAAAACGTGTCTTGGGGGTTTGCATGAACTCCTTATCATAAGCCGAATGCTAAGGTGAAACTGTGGAACTGAGTCCTCCTCCAACAAGGGACAAAAAAGGATGTCTTGTAACACATCCAGATAACTGGTAGCTATAGTTATGCTTGCTAGGATTTGCATGCATGGCTTTGGTTAGTTCCCTTGGTCTGACTTTCCCAAAAAGGAAACCTCCTAGTGATGGGCATCCTATTTATTCCCATCACCTGGCAGGATTTGCAGGATAATTGCTCAGAACTAGAATATTGATCCAGAGTTTTACATTACCCATCCCTCTTGTTCTTTCTGAATTGCAACCGGAGATTGCTGGTAGGTTCACAGGAACAAGCAAGGTTAGTCTAAAATGTAGGCAAAAACTTAAAAACAACTAGTGAGTTTAGAATTTAATGACAAATATATGATGACTTTTGAAGCATAACTTCTCTCTCTCTAGTCCTCATTTTTGTTAAAAAAAAATCATAACAGGACTGTGTTATTTGCAACATAGACTTTAGTTTTATAACTGCCCTGATTATTTGCATAAAGTGCAGCAAGAATAATTATTTCTACAAAAGCCTTTTGGATTGGCTTTGATGGAAGTTTGTTCCACAAGGAATCTCAGACAAGACCTTTTAAAGCCGAGCTCAGCCGTGGGTTTGCATCCTCAAATACCTGAGAGTTGGCTAATCCTCTCCTCTTAAGGTCCTAAGATAAACTTGGAGCTCCTAGACCTGTTAAAAATTGACATTCTTTACTCACAAGAGGTCAAGAACTCTGTACAGGGACTGTGTAGATGAGGGTAGGAGGCCAGTCTCCCATGGGACTTTTATTGGCTCTGCAAGTTGAGACTGACTCTTTAAAGGGAAGCATACCCTTCCAGTCAAAGCCTTGGTAAAATTACCAGTTTCTCCAGTTGTGTCCTGTTGCAAAAGAAAACTGGATTCTTATTGCACTGATACAAACAATTATGTTGCCATAAGAATCAGAGATAATATCCAAATTTTAGACGAACCAGGCAGAGTGAAACAAACATGCTCCAAATCTTGATCCCAGGAGTATACCTTACTTAATTATTAAAGGTTGTATATAGTTCAAAGTTTCCTGGATTCTGAAAAACAAAACATGGATAAGCAATATTCCAAGCAAAGGTTAAAAAGATTTGATTCTGTTTCCAGAGTTCAGTCCATTTAGTTAAATCTTGTTTTACTTGATATTCATCAACATTTTAGCTCTTTATCAGTCCTATACATTTTCCTTTATTCCAATGCTACAATCTCTATAGTTATCAGAGGCCTGTATTTGAGAGCACCTGCTAAAAGTTCTATAGCTCATTATAAACCGTCTTTGAACAGGATTAAAACAAGACAACAATTGTCTGTGAATAGCAAAATGTCCAGAGTAGTTACAGTTAGAAACGTGATTGGCAAAGAAGTTTGATCATTTCTGTGGTTTAAAATAACTTAACATAAAAACCTTAATTATGATTGATAGCATATACTCAGACATTAGAATTTTAGAAATACCATACAATTTTGGAACATATATAAGGTATTATTTACCAAAAATATGACCTAAAGAAGATTGAACATCATTTCGGCCATCCCACGTACCTGAACATGTCAAATAATCCTGTTTGCCTCTCTTTTCTGGACACCTCAGGGGTCCTCTGATGTATTGGAAAAGCCAGGTGCCAGGGAAGACAATTTTGAAACTGAAGTTTGATTTTGGTAAGGCTGTTAAATGTCTGAGGTTTAAAACACTTGATATTATTAAATAGAATTCCAGATTACCATAAGTTATTTACTTTACCTAAATAATGACTCAGACATTTTAAAGAAGCAAAAACCTTTTATATCCATTTACAAAATTTTGCAAAGAGCAGATTAGAGCTTTAGGAAAACTTTGTTATGCTTTTATTTCAATGCTCGATTTACAAAAAAAACACATAATATCATTTTTTTTGAATTTAGTCAATATGTTCACTCAGAGAACCTCTTCTGCAAGATTATTTTCCACCACTTTTTGAACCTTCAGCTTTTTCCTAATTTAACTCAAAACAATCCTTTAATCCTGGCAGAAGTTTACATTTCCAGGCCGTTTTATAACCTTTTACTAAAAAATACATTTTACTATTCTTACACACCTTGCATGTAAATCTATTTCTAATAGTTTCAATTAACTCCTACCAATTTTTAACTTGAAAACTTGGTTAAGTTGCTTTGTGTGGTAACTGCAGCCAAGGTTTCCCTTCTAAGTTAAGGGCTTGGTTAGTTCCATATGTCCCCAGACCCTACAAATTGTGAAGCTGCCAAGTCAAATAGGTCTCAAAACCCAAAAAGCAGTTTGTAACCTCAAAACACTTAGCAAACCTTGCATCTGACCTGCATAGTTTAGTTCACCTATTTATATTTTAATTATACCTGCATTTTACTGATCGTCTTTAGAGCTATTTTCATTTCTCAAAAATTAAAGTTATGTGAACTGAAAGGTTCCATAGCTTTTAACTTCTCTTTAAAAAATATTACATCCAAGCGCTTGTCTTTTTTAGGCCAAATTAATCAGAGCTCTTTTTACAGACATCACACACAGTATACAAACAGACAGGCAGGAGAGAACCCAGTCGCTGGCTGGGGCCATTTGAAAAACAGAGCTAGGAAAACATGCAGATATGGGACCTGAGAGGGCTCATCCCATCAGGCGGGATGGCTAAACAAAGATGCCCTCAGGATATAAAACAAGATGGAGGCTTGATTTCACAACCAAAATTTTGCAGAGAAAAACAGTGACAGTTGTGGGGGCATGGCCTGGTAAAACATCTTCTAAAAGGCAAAAAACAATTACAAGTTAACTGCTGAGGAGGCAGAGAAGGGGAAGAAAAAAGGTTTAGAAACGCCTGGAGAAGAGCCTCTTATTCTTATGCAAGTGGTTCCTCCACCAAGGAGACAAATTTAATTGCTGTGGGTCACAGCCGGCCTCCCTGTCCCGGGGAGGAGGAGACTCTGTGGGTGTCTGGCAGAACAACAGCAGCCAGCTGCCCGCCACGCCGTAGGCCAGGCCTCCAAGTCCTGGCAGGGAGGGGAGAGCGGTGGGGAGCTGCTGGTCTCCAATCAGTCCGGAAAAAGAAAGGAAAAGGCCATGAATAGGCCCCGGAACGACAGGGCTGGGAGCATGGTTTCCCTCACCCTCAGATGTCTGAGGATGAAAAGGCTTAGGAGCAACAGAAAGAGGTTTTGAATCCCCATTTCACTCACCACTTCTTGAGTCCCCGCGGTTGCACACCAAAAATGTTGCAGGACTTTCCTTAGTTCGGTTCTTGTCCGTCCTACAGCCACAAAAAGTCACGCTTGCAGATGGTTTAAAGGGTGAGTGAAACAGGGTTTTATTGAGTGAAAAGGGAAAAGAGGGAAACAGGGATCCTCCGCAAGGCCAGAGTCCCCTGCTAGAGTGCTTCCCATCCACCGTTCCAATCCCAGATTCCACGCAGAAGAGGAGGGACCGGGCTCCTCCCTGCTGCGAATGTCCTGAATTTCTCGAGGCTCCACCCCAGTGGAAAGGCTGGTTGGAGTTTCTCCAGTGGCCCCCTCCCACTTGGCTGTCTCAGTATCTCTCTTGGACATACCAGGTACAAAAGCAGACACCAAATGACACAAGTAACAGGAAGCTTCGCAAGTGGCAGAGACAGAATGCTTGGATGACTGACTTTTCATATCCTTCGTAACTAAGGTCATAAACAGGATCTTAGGCCTGCTATTGAGAGGTCATCATGGTACCTTCCAGTGTTAGGAAAATACAGGGGAAGGAGTTACTGAAACCAATTCGGTGTCAAAGAGCAGAGACAGTTTCACACGTGAGGCAAGAGAATGGAAATGTCTATTCAGCTAGGTCTTATTCCAGCTCATACCTCATCCTGGTGTCTTCTCTTGGCACAGTCACTGTCCTCATAAACCCTGGAACTCAGTTTAAGGTACCTGTCTCCTCCATAGTGTTTAAGATAGGGCATATTTAGACAACAGAGAAAGAGATGCATGCACGTGGCATGGGGAAGGAAGGTTGGGAGGGAGGGTCTTTCTAGCCTTCTATAAATTTATTGAACGAATTTATGATCCAACTGTGGGATATGCGAACGCACTCTTAGAGAGACCACCCTAGCTAATGGCAATATCCTGAGATTGGGAAACAAACAACGACAGTGTTGATCTCATTCTGGTAGAAGTATTTAAACTTCTGTTTCTCACTAAAAGATATATTGATTCAGGTGCTTAATTACCAGATAAACATATGATGTCATATAAATAGGAAGTCCTAAAATCTCTCATCCATAAAAAGAGTCCCTTCATAGCTAATAATTTGGATGACTTTAATTATTAAATTAAGAAAATAAAAGCAAAGACAGAACACAAGTAACTTTCTCATCGCAGGAGCAGCAGTAAAATCTCTTTATAATGCTGGCATAAAGGGACAGATGTAACATCTGTAATTTAGATTAATCACGCAATATTTATTAGCTTCCAAAGGTGGTAGTAGATAGTCACAGACACACTTAGAAAATGTCAAATTCTGTCTGCCTCAGAAACCTTTTGGTCCCTGGTAGTCTAGTCATTAGGATAAAAAGGCAAAATATGCCCCAAAATGTTAAAGAAGAAACCTTTATAAAAATATCTATTATTACATATACATATTAGTCATTTTCCAAATTTATTCAAAGAAAGTTGACGATCACAAAAAACTTTAATTTTTTTTGTCATTCAAATTCTGTTATATAAAAAGTAAAACTTTAATACAAATTTGGAGGGCAAAGCCCCTCAAACCAATTCAATTAGGTCTCAAGTCCTGGGATAATTTCTCTCTTTTTAATTTTCTGGGTTCCAGGTCTCTTGTTTTTGGGGTTTGGCAGGGGTACATTTACCTAGGTTGATGGTAAAGTCAGAGATGGGGGATAGGGGGTTTGTGGATTTAATCGGAAATAGTTCATGAAATTGAGCGGATGTGCGTGAACGTACATGCCTGAGTGTGCGTGCGTGAGTGTGCATGTGTGTCGATTGTTATGTCTTTGAAGCATGAATTAATTAACAGCTTATGGTTATTATGCCAGCCCAGAATATTCAATATAAGCTCAGCTTCTACTTATTGATCTGGCAGGAATCAAATCTGAGTTCATCTACAGCAGATTCAGAGGGGACAAGGCCTTCCTCGATGGTGAGTGATAGCGTCTACCAAAGTTAAAAATCCCAAATGCATGAGTGCTCTCGTGACTGGTTAATAGGGTGGTAGTCATTAGTCCATCAAGATGTCTTATTTAAGTGGAATGTGTGGGCGATCTTAGCTTTATGACCCTGAAGTAAGAACCAGATGCCAGGTATAGTTTCAAAATAGTCACCCCCTAGTGTTATGGGCCCGGAGCGAGGAGGCTAGTACTCCCGAGCCGGATGATGATTTCTCGGAGGTTGGTAGATTAAGAGACCAAAATTTAGTAGGAGATATCCATGTTGACGAGAGATTTCTTGACTGAAATGTGCTATGTTCGATGAACGAATGTATGCACTATGTAATATTAAGCATTCCTAATACGGGTCAATATTCGTGTGGATTAGGTTTTATTGTACACTTTATAATAGTAGATGTGCGATAGTTAAGGAATTGTTAATTTGTGCTTATATGCATATGGACTGGATTTGTAGTATATTCTTATATATGAATGTACTATGTACAAGTAGGCAATTATAGTACTATATATTATTCATGGGGATTAGCAGTAATGCACGAAGTACCTAAAAGCACTAATGTATTAGTGCTAATTGATTAATACTGACATGGTAGTCAAAGTGTGTGCTGGGAAAAAAATCAGGGTGTAGTTTAATTAGAATTTCAGCCATGGGTGTTGAGGATGAAGCGGGAATGCTTTTCCCTTGAGTTGTCCTGGGGAGGGGATTCTCCATTTCTGGTTTACAAGACCACAGTATTGAATTGTAATACAAGGGCATTTTCATTTAAGTAGTTTATATTCAGTGGTATAAGGGTGAGGATGATAGAGAAGTACCTAATAGATGCTGTCTGTCCGATGGCAATAATAGGGTATTTGATGGGCTGTCCTCTGATTCATGTGAGTGTAAGTAGGTCAGCCACTAAGGTTCAGTATAGGCATTGAATTAATGGCTTGAATATTATGCTTTGTTGTTTAGACGTCCGAAGTACGGGAATAACTGCTAGAACGAGAATGGAGAATACAAGGGCCAGTACTCCTCTTAGTTTGTTAGGGATAGATTGTAAGATTGCATAGGCAAACGAAAAGTATCACTTTGGCTTAATGTGGGGTGGGGTATTGAGGGAGTTAGCTAAAGTGTAATTATCTGGGTCGCTCAGGAGGTCAGGCAAAAATAGTACTAGAGTTATTAGAAGGAGGAGGAGAAAAATTAAACCTAGAATATCTGGATTCTGTTTTTAATTCTCTGAATTAAAACAGTCTGAAGCCCACTAGCTTGGTGTGGTGCCTGAGACATCTCCCATGATCGCCTCTCATATCCTAAGTGAGTGTGTGTATCTTTGCTGCAGCTGTTAAGTGATACGTCTAGTAAATATTTCAAGCTTCCATTTTAGTGACAGGAATATTAATGGATCAAAATCATTGACAAATTCTCCCACTGCCTTTTTTTTCTAATTTGTTTTCTCTATAGCTTTGAGCATTTTGAAGTTCCGAGGGCCAATATCAGGGCATGGCTTAGGCCAGGGAAGCACAGCCAGGTATACCATGAAGTTGGCCTCGAATGTAGAAAAGCAGAAGAATATACTCTGAGCCTATGGGTGGTTCAACATGGTATGTCAGAATAGCAAAGTTCTAGGAGTTTGAAGCCAAACACCAGATAAACTTCACTGAAGTGTACTATGAGGGCTATGGATTCCTCTGAAACCTTTGGCAGAGAATTTGGGGATTAGGGGTATATTGAAGTTATTATTTTCATCAGAGACATGAGATCCTTGGAAGCACAACTTACCGTCATTACTGTGTACTCTTTAGTTCTGATTTTATTGCTGAGACTCAACATGTAAATCTTTTCCAACTTAACCTGATCCTACAATTATTGCTTGAGGCTACTTTTTACGGAAAGTTAACTATGATGATATTACACTAACTTCAAGTTTTAGCTCACAAAGTGATTGCCCACTTGGTTCCAGAGGTCAGATAAAACTAAACACTGAAATTACATTTAGAATATTATTTTAACTTCATTTGATTATAAGAGGGAAACTTTCTCTTGGAATCAGGAAATAAAGCTATAGAATAAAAAACTTTTATTTTTGTTTATTTTCAAGTAAAATAATAAGGGCAGTAGTGTTTCCTTATGACAGTGGCACTGTGATTTGGTTTCATACAAACTCATTTCATGCTGGGTTTCTGACAGTTTGACAGATTCTGTATCTTGCTTGAAAACATGAGCCTGTAGAGAGCCTTTTGATGGCATAGATACACCTTTCTCTGGGGAACATCATTCCTTTCAAGGCAGTTCCTGCTGGTGACCTACCATCAGTGTTTCTGCATTATATATGATTCTGGAGGGTGACTGAGATAAACCAGGGGGACATAGAAGAATTATACTGAGGGATCCAGAAGGCAGTAGGACCCTGGCATTCTGGAACCATGAGCAGACCTGGTGACACTTAAAAAAAAAAAAAAGAGGAGTAAGTCCGTAAGTCCTCATGCAGGCAGATCATAGTAGAAGGCATTGTCATTCTGATTCAACCAGCAAAGTCATACATACCAAGCAGAGCTTGTCTCAGTGACTATTAGGTTGATATGTACACATTTTCTGGAATAATATACACAATGAGATATATGAAAGATTATTTTAAAATGTGTTCCCATATAGAAATAAAAAGAAAAAGAGACAGAACTCCTGGAGATGATTCCTAGTGTCAGTCCTGATCACATATTACTGAAATAAGCTATTTGCCTATTTCCAAAATAAAATGCTAATTTCATTTAAATAGGAATTTTGTTTCATCACTCTCTGGATAATAACTCTGGCATACAGTAGGCAACCACAATACTGTTAGTTCACTGCTTAAGAAACAGAATATAGCACGTGAAATGTTTAAAGATAAATGATAAATTATTATTTGATAAATGATATGGAGATAAATAGTTCACTGTAAAAAAATTGGGTAGGATATTTTCCTTATATGAAAACAGATTTTAGCTAAATTAAAGATTTAAATAAAACATCATAGTATTACAATGTAATCAAAAAAAGGTCCAATTTGATTTTGCAATTCAGAAAGACTTCAGGGATTTCCTATGCATCAGAATACTGATAGAAACCTAATTGAAAAAAATAATACATTTGCATATAAATAAAAATGTAAATATTTTTGAAATTCTCATAATCCATAAGTAATAAACAATAAAGTAGAAAAATTATTATATATGGAAGATTAGTATATATGGAAGATCAAAGATGAATAGCCTCCATGATCAAAGATTAATAGCCCCAATTTAGAAATAACCTTTGTAAATTAATAAGTAGAGAAAATATCCTAATAGAAAAATGGGTAAGACATAATTTTCAAAAGAAGAAATACAAATGGTAAATACCTATGTAAAAAAACGTTTAACCACTGTAGTAATCAAGTAAATCCAATTTAAATAAATATTATTGTAGCTGAGAATGATGGTTTCCAGCTTCATCCATGTCCCTGCAAAGGACATGAACCCATCCTTTTTTATGGCTGGATAGTATTCCATGGTGTATATGTGCCACATTTTCTTAATCCAGTCTATCATTGTTGGACATTTGGGTTGGTTCCAAGTCTTTGCTATCTCAGCAAACTATCTCAAGCACAGAAAACCAAACACCGCATGTTCTCACTCATAGGTGGGAATTGAACAATGAGAAAACATGGACACAGGAAGGGGAACATCACACACAGGGGCCTGTTGTGGGGTTGGGGGAGGGAGGAGGGATAGCATTACGAGAAATGACGAGTTAATGGGTGCAGCACACCAACATGGCACATGTATACATATGTAACAAACCTGCACGTTGTGCACATGTACCCTAAAACTTAAAGTATAATAATAAAAAAAATAAAAATTATTGTAGCCTATTAAATTAGAAGAAAAGATAGATTATACACCAGATATCCAATAGTAGTAGGGGCACTATGACATATGTTCTCTAATCTGCCACTGGTTAAAATGCACCTTTTTGGAAGGCATTGCTCTATTATAGCAATTAGAAATTAAATTGTCTATAGCAAAAGCTGAAGGAGTCGTAATGTAAACTATTCTGGTGTTTTGTGCTCTCACATAATAGGAAAACTGGAGATGGAAAATCCAGGGATAGTACCCATCTCCATAAAATCATCTCTTCTCTCTCTCTTACATGCACTCCCTCCACCTGCATGCACATCCAGCCATTACTAGATTGCTATTCATTTTCCTGATGCAGTTGCTAGAACTCCAGTTCTGTGATGACATTCCTGTCTCCACATCCCAGTGTTACAGGTACAATAGAAGGATGTCAAAAAAGTCAGACTTTCATTAAAGAACTTTCCCCGACGTCCATCTTGAATTAGATCTCGCTGGATGGAACTCTGTCACGTAACATTCTGCAGGCAAGGGCATGTGAATGGCCACAAATCTTTTATAAGAGAGAATCAATTTGGGTAGGCAATCAGCAGACTCTGTCACAGCCTCAAAAATTCATACCGAACCCATCAATATCTCAATATCACTTGTAAGAATTAATCTTAGCCACTAGACACATGTAAAAAAATTATTTTACAAATACACTTATCGAAACAGTAGTTATGATAGTAAAAAAAATTGACACTATTCCATAAGAGAGGAACTGTTAATTTAATCAAGTTATGGTCACATTATTAATATACTAAAATAAGGTTTACAAATACTTCAGTAAATAAACCTAACAGTTAAACTATATATAATATTGTTGGGAAACAAAACACTTAAATCTCTATCTTTAGAAATTTATACATACATACAGTTTAACTAACTCATAAAAAATATTAGTGCTTATGACTGATTTGTGAGATTGTAGCCATTTTTATTTACTTTTGCTTATTTATATTTTCCAAATGTTAAAAAATTGCATGTTTTTAACATCAAAAAAACTAAGAATATATTTCTAATAAAACATAGTCAATATTTATAGCAGTTACTGTCAAATGGGAATTCTCCAACAATGGTGAGAATATAAGTTGGCCATTTTTTATGGAGGTATATTTGAGAAAATTTATCTATACTTTTATTTCATCTCATTTACCTTAGTGACAAACTGTTAATATTCTGTTCCGTAGTTACACAGCATCCTCTAGTGACAGGATCAGTTCTGCCCTCTCAGACAAATGGCCCAATAATTTTCTAACATCAAACATTTTATATATGATTTGCTCTTCTATTGTAAATAATTATATTTAACACTGTATGATGTAGTTGTACTTGAATTATTTGTGATAGAGGAAATATAATTTTTTGAAAAATCCATGAATTAAAAAATTTTAAACTCAAATTGCACTTTATTGCTTGCAAAATTAAAATATATTTAAAAATGGTAAAATATGTGGCAAAGTAGTTAGAAGGGAAATCATATTGAATGCACAATTGAACTTTAAAAGAATAATAGCTGAAAGGGAGTAATGATTAGGATAAATTTTTATGTTATTTAAATACTGAGAAATGAACATAAAATAATATAAGTGTGGAGTATACTTTCTAAAACTTTTATAAATTACTTATAGAAATATTTTCTTGGGTCTTTTTGCAAAGATATAAATATTAAAACATTAGGATTTAGAGAGCATGTCTTGTTCAACAAGAAGAGTATGTCTTGGTCTGTAAGAAATTATGAGACTCAGTAGTGTTATTAACAAGGATAGTACATGGTTTTAAACTTTTTCAAGTTGTTTCTGTGAGAAATTTATTCAAAAGACAATTATTGATATTTTATAGAAAAAAAATTAGCTGATGACAAAAGAAAATGGATCAAGCCTGCTTGCTTAAAAGAGTCATGGGCATACTGCCTGCCAATCTTTTCTATCACTTGGGAGAAACTCAACCTGAATCAAGTATTTGCTGTTAATACTAATTGCCTCCCATATTTCATATCCTACCTGTTGTAAATCTTAATTTTAAAATAAGAGGGTTTAAGAGTCAATACCCCATAAATACAATGATACATATTAATTATTCACCCAAGAGATAATGCTTCATAGGCCTGTGGAAATTCTGACTCCTCTTACTAACAGCCCAGGTGCCCAGGGATCTGTAGAGCACAGTTGCAAACCGTGTTCAGCCTCTCCTCCCTCTTTCATGCATTCAGATATCACCCTTAGGTATAATAAACTCAGGGCCTTCTGTAATTCCATAAATTTAGTAATCTAACAAATAGATTTGAGTGCACCTGTTAACAGAAGCATCAACCTGAAGCTTCTGGATTCTAAGTGAACATGATTAGAGACTGAGCACCGGTCTCCTCCTAGGAAGCTGTCTCAACCCATCCTCTCTCTCCATAGCATTCTCGTAGTAAGAGCTTCTCCAAACTGCAAACATCACTACACACAAAAAGAATTGCTCTCAGTGGCTTTTTAACAGAGAAGTTTGACTCATTTCCTTAGTAAAAGTGTTCTAAGAATAAAAAGAAATAAGATACTTTAAACTTTCATTAAGATTTTTTAGTAATATTGATATTATATGAAAACTATTTTTATGTTGTCTTATAAGTCAAATAAGTAATTATGTTAATTGTATTAAGATTCAATATTTGTTCATGTAATGGAAAGTTAAAAAATAAGTGAAATCATTGCAGTATTAAAGTTGAATTTTATTATTGTGAATTGGTGATTAAGAATCTCGATTTTTTTTTCATGTTATCCACTAGGAGTTTTATAGTTTTACATTTTGCATTTAGGCGTGTGACCCATTTTAAGTTAATTTTTTTGAAGAGTGTAAAGTTCGTGTCTAAATTCATTTTTATTTTTATTTTTTTTACATGTGGATGTCTAGTTGTTTTAGTCCCGTTTGTTGAAAAGACTATTTGACTCCTTGGTATTTTGCTTTTGCTCCTTTGTCAAAGATCAGTTCCCTATACGTAGGTGGATTTATTTCTGCTCTCTATTATGTTACGTTGATTCATTAGTCTATTATTTTACCAAAAAGACACTGTCTTGATTACTGTAGTTTTATAGTAAGTCTTGAAGTAGAGTCAGTTCTCTGACTTTACTCCTTCAATGTTGTGTTAGCTATTCTGAGTCTCTTGCCTCTCCGTATACACTTTAGAATCAGTTTGTTAATGTCCACAAAATATCTTGCTTGGGTTTCTATTGAGATTGCATTGACTCTATATAACAATTTTGGAAGAACTGACATCTTGAAAACATTAATCCATCTTCTGCATGAACATGAAGCATCTCTACATTTATTCAGCTTTTCTTTGGATTCTTTCATCAGATTTTGTAGTGGTTTAAAAAACTAATCCTGTACATATTTTGTTTAAGTTAAGCTAAGTATTTCGTTTTGAGGTCAGCATGAAGCAGCTTATCAATTTGGTATTACACTGCACAAATTACAAGATTTCAAGAACAAAAAATTAGTCAGTTGAAAAATCAACCAATGAAAATCCATGAGTCCAAAATTGAGAGAGAGAGAGAGAGAGAGAGGAAGGAAGGAAGGGAGGGAGGGAGGGAGGGAAGGAAGCTAGCTAAAAATTGCCATTTGAAGCAGCAATGAAACTAACCTACTCCTTTGAAAATTGGTAACTAACAGGAAAAGATAAAACATACATTTTAATTTTAAATTAGAAATTGCAATTGGCATAACCAACTAAACCCTGTTGACGATGAAAAGTTCTATTTTGGATAAGAATAACAGCTAATAAATGATAGAAAAAACAAATCACCATTCCACAATCCCCTCTAATGAAAATATTAACTCAGACAAGGATTATAAACTGATGTCAAAACTATTAGTCGTATAGTTAATGAGAGAACAGGAAATTGTATGGTGATATCAAAGTTATATCACATTTTAGCTTCTAGTTGCAAAGAGGGAAATGTGAATATACAGTTGAGGGGTCAGACTATCATGATCCTAATCAAGCAATGAGTCATCAATATTAATGACAAGACAAACCGTATGGTATGTGTTATCTGACAAGATGGAATATAAAGTGTACATTACCACTTAGGATGTGTTTTTCCAAACTTGCTTAACTTAAACATTTTAGCCATTATATCTAATTTTCATATTACAGGATCCACAAATGACAAACAACTTAAATGACACCGTAAAAAAGGAACCCCACAAATGTAGAAAAGTTGGCTTTTAGTAGGACCTCAAGCCAGGTCTTCTCAAAAAACAAGAGTAATTAAAAGTGACTCGCTAGGTAAATGCAGCTAAGGAAAAGTAAAAATCAAATGAAATATGTGCCTCTTGAATGGATTATCTTAAGACCAAACTGGTTGCAAGGACATATTGGAGACATTTGAGGAAATTTGCTCATACAACTTACTGTAATATAAGATAAAAACGTATTCTTTTGGAAGATGGAGATTATTAACTGAAGAAAGCCTATTATGAAATTGTATGTATAATTTCATTTTGGTAAAAAAATGGACATGCATATATAAGTAGAACAAGTATCTGCGAGGATATATCAAAAGGTAAGACAAACCTCTCTCAGATTGGATATGTGTTTTTAAATTTAAGTTTTTGTGATCTGTGGTCTCAAAATTTCTGCAAAACAGAAGTTGCTTTTGTAAAATGATACTATTTATTAAAAATAAAAATATCACCCCTATATGATACATTAGCCTATTAAGAAACCATTCGTATGATCTAAAGTGGTGACTAATGTCAGGCAAAGCAGATATCGTGACAAGCTGGATGATGATTATTTTGAGGGAATAGAAAGGGGGCCATTTGTGCATGTATAAAATCAATTCACAGCAAAACAAAGCAATGCAACAAAAACAACTCAATATAACTATGGCTGACACCAACAGTAGTTTTCTTGATGAATCCCTAAAGCAGAGAGGGTTCTTGGAACAATTTTGCTGAGGATGCCATCAAGTGCTAGAGGTTTGTCTGTGCACTTTTATCATGAATTTGAAAACTGCGCTACAACGCAAGTGAATCCTGACACCCTTTTGATGGTGACAGATCATGAAATATTCAGGATGGAGGCATCTCACCATCCCCCTCAGTCTCATTAACACTTTATGTTGGTTTTTATGACTTTCTGCATCTGGACAGCTTTGTGTTAATGGGAAGGAAACATCTGAACTTTCAAAATCTTAACTGTATGAAGTCAGCACAACCATTTGCCTATGGAAAGTAAACGTCAATACTGATGCCGATATTTTCAAAACTAATATATGAAACTCTCATAAATAATAAACATATCTTAATTGGTACCTTAGAGTTCTATCTTTGAAAAGGGAAACATTTAGTCAGCATTCCAGTTTTTTACTATTTGTATATGCTAAACTTTTCTTTTGAAGAAAATGCTCTCAAGAACATTTTCATGGTTCAGTTATGATACCTGAAAATGGCAGTGTCTTCCCAAATAAAGTGCTTGCTCCCAAGTTTATGAGACGTCTGTAATAATGGCAAAGGGTTTTATTTTTATTTGGAAAAGATTTTACAGCAAAGAATCCTAATTATTTTAAGGATGATGAAATTATAAATATCTATATATAATCTATTCTCACATACTTATATACATTTATACATTATTTTAAAAGTCACTATGAGTTTCAATTTTAATCTTAAATTTTTTAAAGTTTTCATTATGTATAGCCTTTTATATTTCTAGGATATTTTCAAAGACAGACAAATATTAATATATAATAATGTTCATCATAGAATTTTGATTATAAATTTAAGTCAGGCACTTCAGCATCTTTATAATATTAAAAGTCATAAGTTAATCAGGTATCCACTGATTAGGGAGTAGTTAAATACATGTTGAGAGCTTGAAATGTAATCACTAGGGAAAATAAGTTGATATACAGCAGTGTTTCTCAATAAGACGTAGTGATTTTTGCCCCCACAGAGGGCCTTGGTGATGTCTAGATGCATTATTGTTGCCACAGCTGGGGGAATGGAGGTCCTGCTACCACTGTCTAGTGTGTGGAGCTCAAGGATGCTGCTATACATCCTGTAATGCACAGGACAGCTCCTAGCAGCAAAGAGTCATCCTAGCTAAAGTGCCTAGAGTGCCAAGGCTGAATAAACATGGTCCATATATATATATATATGTGTATATATATATATATATATATATATATAGAGAGAGAGAGAGAGAGAGAGAGAGACAGAGAAAATATGCACCTTATATATTTAAACGAAAATAAAAAACAAACCAATACATTTAAAAGATTTTTATTAGAAATTATATAACCACTGAAAACCTATAATTTTTGTAATGATACATCAAGACATTCTAGACACTATGCTATTTTACATGAATGATTCTATTAGACCTTCATAACAACCCTATGAAATAGGTTTAGCAATTAACTTTGCATAAGGAAGCTAAGACATAGCAAGTGTAAAAAACTGGCCAGGCCAGGCGCGGTGGCTCACGCCTGTAATCCCGGCACTTTGGGAGGCCGAGGCTGGCAGATCACCTGAAGTCAGGAGTTTGAGACCAGCCTGGCCAACAGGGTGAAGCCCTGTCTCTATTTAAAATACAAAAATTAGCCAGGTGTGGTGGTGTGCACCTGTAATCCCAGCTACTCGGGAGGCTGAGGCAGGAGCATCACTTGAACTTGGGAGTGAGAGGTTGCAGTAAACTGAGATCGCACCACTGCACTCCAGCCTTGGCTACAAGAGAAAAACTCCATCTCAAACAAAAACAAACAAAAACAAAAACAAAAACAAAAACAAAAAACTGGCCAAAGGACACTAAGCAATAAACTGGACTTAGCTCTCTAGACAGGGTGAGGAATTTCCACCAAAGGGTGAAAGGTGCTATCTTTGAAGGAAAGATTAGAGGAAGAATTCATTTCTTATACATTTGTATTTTATTATTATTGTATCATATATACATGCTTTTAAAAAATAAGGTGATCCTATATAGCATCTAATGAAATAAGACAACCTGTTTTTTCACTAGGTCCTATCTCTATGCCCCATTCCCTAGAAGCAACAATTTTTGACTCATTTAGCTCTTTTTTTTTAAAATTTATTTCCATTTTCCCAAATAAGCTCATAGCTTTATCTGTGGACTTCCTAGTATAGTATTCAGTGGAGCCCCATGTACTCTTCCTCAAATCATAAATACCCATCTCTTGTTTTTCCACTCAAGCTATATGATAACTTTCAGCAAACTAATATTACTGTCTTCACCATATAACTATGTCAGTTAATATTACAGCTGGGATGCACTTTGATTAACTGTATGGTTTTTCACCAGTTAATAATTACATAATTTCATTTTTTTCTTTCCTTTTTAACTATCACCAGTTTATCCCCAAACTCTCAAGTAAAATGTTCATCATAACACCACTAAGCACATCAGGTAAATTACCTCTGTCATTTTTAAAATCTGAAATCTCCCCTCCTAGGTGTCTTTTTTTCTCCTCTTCTAATGGGAACTGAATGTTCTGTGTAAGATGCAGACCATTTATTCCAGGATGCCCTCCCCGTTGTCCCCGGGAGTGCCTTCCCCTTTCTCCTTTGCCAGCACCTACCCCTGTCTCCTTGACAGTTGTGGCTTCCTCTTCTTCAGTTTACTCCTTCATTCCATTGAACAGCATCTTCCTCTGTTTGTTTGTTTTGGTCCTTGTTCTTATTAAAGCATTCTTCACATGGCTGACAAACATCATCAGTTTTAATGTTAGAGTGACTTCAAACTCTAAGAATGGGCAGGGCTCATCATACTGGGCCACAGAGTGACATGAACTAGTGGGATATGGTGGTTTAATTGGGGAAACTCCAAATAACAAGGAATCTAAGTGTGTTATCTATCCTTCCACCTCCAGCATAATTTTGCAACTTCTTTTCCAGAAGCTGAGGGAGGAAGTTAGAGTATACAGTTGGGTGTAGGTTTGTACACAATCTCCCTGTCTTCAATATGGTGCCTCATTCATCCCCCTCAGTTCTTCCTGGTGTCCCAGAGTCCAGGGCTCTTGAGCCTTTCTGCCTCAGCTTGCTTTTTGGCTCCCAGGAAAGGAGATTGTTTTTATATAAACAAAATACATTGTCCAGATAGTAAACTTCTAGCCTTTTCTGCCAGTAAGAAAAGAATAGTTGCCTGACATAGAGAGATGTGGTCATTAAGTGTGGGGATGTATATGTTCCTTAACATTTTTTTAGGAAAGCCTAGAATCTTGTACATTTTAAAATCATTTCCTAGATCTCTGCCTTCAAACAGTGTTTTCAATTCCTGAGACTTTCTGATGGTCTGTGACACAATTTTGCCTCTTTGCTCCCCATTCCTTCTTTCTGCCTTTGATAACAATTAACTCTGCTTGACAAGCCAGGATGGTTTTAGGTTTAAATTAACAATTAAAATCATAAAACACAATACAGTTCACCTAGTATCAAGTTTACTTAGTTTTTAAAAAAGAGTATAGCACAGGGAGAAGACCAAACTTAGCAGCAAGCAGCTAGCAGATGCCTCGTGATTCCCAGAGGCAGACTCCAAATGTCCCAGTCATTTCCCATTGGATCTAAGTCTTCATGTGAGAGGAGGCTGAGGAGAGTCATAAATTGGTGTTTTTAGTTATACCTCATTTTTATGCAGCACTCCCAGGGGTATTTGACTAATTCTAGTTCCCTGGTGAAACTGCATCTCATCAATTGCCCATTACTCTTCAATTACAGCTTATTTATCAATTTCATGTTATTCATCAATAATAGCTTACTAAATAAATAATCTCTACAACCAGGCAAGGGAGTTTGATTTGGTACAAGCTAACTTCTGCAGGACCTTCATTTATCTTGGAGAAAGAATACAAGACTTTCCTTACATTGGTCTTTCAAGGAGGATTTATTTGAGGGTCAAATTCTCAGGCATCCCTAAAGCTAAAGGAAAGACAACAGATTAGCTGTTTATGCTGCCATAGGTACTTAACTAAGTGGAAAAGTGGAACGTAAGTTCACTGTCACTTATGCATCCAATTTGCATCTTCCAAATCTTTTTTGACATTTTTCATCTGCCATCCTTCCTCTCCCCAGTTCTCTCTCCTTGTTGATTTGATTCCTCTGCCATCCTTTTTTTTTTTTTTTTTAGTGTAAGAGAGGATGCAGAGAAGAAACATATGCATATTTAATCTGTAATATGTAAATATATAAATGCTATAAGAATGCTTTGGATACATACATGTTTTAAATCATAGAAGAAAAGACTGAAAGAAATAATGTTTCTCAGGTATGTAAATTAATTTTATATAAAATTTTTTGAAAAAAAGGTATATTGTTTTCACCAGCCACTAAAATGTGATTTGAAAGTGGTTTTATGGGAAAAGAAATTTGCTTGATATGACAACCATTTCTCTAATTAGAATCACATAGGAAATAAATTCTGTATGTGCATTAGATGTGGAAAATATGGATATGCTACAATGGTCTTCTGAATCCTTAATGAAGTAGGCAATCACAAACTGAAACAAATTAGTAGCAGCAGTTAATACTGAAATATATATTATTGGGTAAATTATATACAATGTGATGCAAACAGTAGTGTATTCGTAAATACCATTAGATGCATCTCACATAAAATATCTCTCTGTTTAATGTTTGTGTATAAAACACCTTCTGACTTTTAATATCCAAATTTTATAGAGCTTACACACTTTATACAGGGAAAAAGTATATTTATGTTCTATATTATTAATACAACATCTTTAAGAGAATACAGAGCTTATACAGATTTGAGTAATAATCCAAATAAAAGAAGTAAAAAGAACATCAGAACCAATCTACGGATTTTTGAATTGAATGTCAATGAAAAGAGATTGTGTTTGGATGTTAATGGTACTAAAGGAGTTATCACAGCATCATTGTTTTTGTGTGAGATAATCTGCCATTTTATTTGTCCTGATCTCCTTTCCATGGTGCCTTTTCAAATTTAGACCTGGCTGTCACCCAATATTAAAATGAATCTCAGTAATGTGTTAAAATTATAAGACAGAGCAAAGCAAGCTTTTTTTTAAAAAAAGAACTATACACACATACAGAAGTATGTTTTGTGTGTTTTATTGTTATTTTAGAAATTGTTGAGAGTTTACAGGGTTAAATTCTAATGCATTATGTGTTTCTCCATTTAAAATAATGGCAAATAGGCTCTTGGTTCACATTTTCATACAGAACGGATTACCCGTGTTAGGTAGGAAATGCCTGTGTTGTATTTCAGTGCATATTAGTAGCTAAATGATAAATCAAACTGTAAAATAAAGTTGCATTAATTCATACAGTGTAATGCAGTCAAAACAGGAAACATGATACAAAATGAGACATTTCCTTATATTTAAGTAAATTCCTTTGCATTTAGCAAATGCTTATCGTAGTGAAATCTTACACAAAACATGTAGCAAGGTAATGCTTAAGCTAGTTTTTATGTGTGGACTTAATCTTTTAGGTCATGTTTGTTCATTTTTGCTCAACACATTTTTATTTTAAATGTTATTGCTTGATCTATATGTATGGTAAATATACATTAAAATCTACTGTACGTGTGAGATTTTTAATTACGCCTTGAAATATTGTTATGTTATATAGTTTAGGATTATATAGATCATATCAGTATGAGATTTTCATTTATTATTTATTTCTCTCTCTAAATTTTGGACTTATGGATTTTCATTGGTTGATTTTTCAATTGAATAATTTTTTTATTCTTGAAATTTTGTAATTTGTGTAGTGTAATACGAGGTTGATAAGCTGCTTCATGCTGACCTCCAAATGAAATTCTTAGCTTAACTTAATCAAAATAGGTACAGGATTTTTTTTTAAAACACTACAAAATCTGATGAAAGAAATCAAAGAAAAACTGAATAAATGTAGAGATACTTCATGTTCATTTAGAACATGGATTAATGTTTTCAAGATGTCAGTTCTTCCAAAATTGTTATATAGAGTCAATGCAATCTCAATAGAAACCCAAGCAAGATATTTTGTGGATATTAACAAACTGATTCTAAAATGTATAGGGAGAGGCAAGAGACTCAGAATAGCTAACACAACATTGAAGGAGAAGATAGAATCGGAGAACTGACTCTACTTCAAGACTTACTATAAAACTACAGTAATCAAGACAGTGTCTTATTGGTGAAAAATAGACTAATAGTATGAAAATCTCTGTGGAATGAATAGTTTGCAAATATTTTCTTTCACTCTGTAGGTTGTCTGTTTTCACTCTCTTGATTATTTCTTTTGTGGTTCAGAGCTTTTTAGTTTAATTAAGTTGCATTTGTTTATTTTTTGTTTATGTTGCCTGTGCTTTTGAGGTCTTAGTCATGAATTTCTTGCCTAGACCAATGTCCAGAAGAGTTTTCCCTGAGATTACTTCTGGTAATTTTATAATTTCAGGTCTTACACTTAAGTCTTTAATCCATCTTGAGTTGATTTTTGTATATGATGATATAGTGGTCCAGTTTCATTCTTTTGCATATGGGAATCCAGTTTTCCTGGAACCATTTATTGAATAGGGTGTACCTTCCCCACTATATGTTTTTGTTAACTTTGTTAAAGATTAGTTGGCTGTGGATACGTGACTTTATTTCTGGGTTCTCTATTTTGTTCCATTAATTTATATAACTGCTTTTATACCAGTAAAAGCAGTAACAGTAACCCAATATTGTTTGGGTTAGTATAGCTTTGTAGTATAATTTGAAGTCAGGTAATGTGATGACTCCAGCTTAGAAATTTTTGCTTAGTACTGCTTTGTCTATTCAGGGTTTATTTTGGTTCCATGAATGTTAGAATTGTTTTTCCTGATTCTGTGAAAAATGACATTGGTATTTTGATAAGGATTGCATTGACTCTATAGATTGCTTGGAGCAGTATGGTCATTTTAATGTTATTAATTATTCTTATCCATGAGCATGGGATATTTTTCCATTTGCTTGTGGAGAAAAAATTGTAGAAAAAAATCAGGGTTTTATAATTTTCCTTGTAGAGATTTTGTACCTCTTTGGTTAAATATATTCATAGGCATATTTTTGTAATTATTATAAATGCAGTTGTCTTCTTGATTTGATTCTCAGCTTGATCGATGTTGGTGTAGAGAAACATGACTGACTTTTATATGTTAATTTTTGATCCTAAAACTTTACTGAATTCTTTTATTAAGTCTAAGAGATTTTGGTGGAATCTTTTGGTATTTTTTATATAAAGCCATTTCATCAATAAGCAGGAATAATTTGACTTCATCTTGCCTAATATGGATATCTTTTATTTATTTCTCTTACCTGATTGCTCTGGCTAGGACTTCCAGCTATTATGTTGAATAGAAGTGGTGAAATTGGGCATCCTCGTCTTGTACCATTTCCTAAAGGGAATGCTTTGAATGTTTCCTCATTCAGTGTGATGCTGTCTGTGGGTTTATCATATATGGTTTTTATTATCTTGAGATATGTTCCATCTATGCCTAGTTTGTTGAGGATTTTTATCGTGACGGGAGGCTAAATTTTATTAAATGTTTTTCATACATCTATAGGGATGATTACATGCCTTTTGTCCTTAGTTCTGTTTGTGTGATATATCATATTTATAAAGTTGAACTATCTTTGCATCTGTGATATAAAATCCACTTTTTCATGGTATGTTATCTTTTCAATGTGCTGTAGTATTCAGTTTGCTACAATTTTGTTAAGGATTTGTGCATCTATGTTCATCAGGGATATAGTCTGTAGTTTTCTTTTTTGTTGTGTCCTTGTCTGATTTTGGTGTCAGGGTGATACTGGCTTCATAAAATAAGTTAGAGTGGGCTCCTTCCTCCTCAATTTTTTGGAAGAGTTTTAGGAGGATTGGTATTCACTCTTCTTTGAGTGTTTGATAGAATTCTGACATAAATCCATCTGCTTCTGGGCTTCCTGTTGTTGTTGGCAGATAATTTTACTACTGATTCAATCTCACTACTCATTATTGGTCTGTTAGGATTTCCATTTTTTTATGGCTCAATCTTAGGGTGTTGTGTGTTTTGAGGAATTTATCCATTTCCACTAGGTTTTCTAGTTTTTTTGCACAGAGGTACTATTAGTAGTCTCTGATTATTTTTTTGTATTTCTGTGATATCAGTTGTAATGTTTCCTATTTCATGTCTGATTTTGTTTATTTAAATCTTTTTTTTTTCTTTTTCTGGTTAGTCTAGCTAGCAGTTTAAAAATTTTGTTAATCTTTTCAAAAAAAACAACTTTTCATTTCATTGATTGTATGTTTTCTGTCTGTTTCATTTAGTTCTGCTCTGATCTTTGCGATTTCTCTTTTCTTCTAACATGGGTTTTTGTTTGTTCTTTTTCTAGTTTGTTAAGATGTGACATTAAGCTGTTAATTTGAGATCTTTTTTACTTTTTTCATGTGTGCTTTTAATGCTGTAAACTATTATCTTAGCACTGCTTTTTATGTATCCCACAAGTTTTGGTAAGTTGTGTTTTCATTTTCATTTGTTTCAAAAGATTTTTCTAATTTTGATCTTAATTTCTTCATTGGCTGATTGCTCAGGAGCATGTTATTTAATTTCCATGTATTAGTATAATTTCCAACATTTCTCAATATAGATTTCTAGTTTTATTCCAGTGTGGTATGAGAAGATACTTAATACAATTTTCATTTTTTAAAATTTATTGAGGCTTTATTTGTGGCCTACATTTGTTTTGAAGAATATTCCATGTGCTCATGAGAAAAATGCATATTCTGCAGCTGCTGGGTGAATGTTCTGTAAATGTCTGTTGGGTCCATTTGGTCAAAAGCCCAGTTGAAGTTCAGTGTTCCTTTGTTGATTTTCTGGAAATGTATTAACAATCACTGGTTCAGATATTTTTTTTCTCCTCCATTTCTCCTATCTTCTTCTTTTCAAAATCCTACAAATGTTCACATTGTATCACATTTGCATAATAGTTATTTATTGTTGTATATATTAGAGATTATATCTTCTTTTACATTTTAATTTCTAATTATTTATTTTATAATCACCTGATCTTGTCTTATTTCTATTTTTAAAAAATAATTTATAATTTTACATTATTTTTATATTATTTTATATTATTTTTAACGGATGCCTTCATTTAACTCTTTGAACATCCTCAATGTATTTGTTTTCAATAATATCAGCTATTCTAGTATTTAATTTCATGTGCTGTAGGTTTCTTGTCCAATTGTTCACTTTGATTTGCAGGTTTTCTTTCAATGGGTGTCTCTCTCTCTCTCTCTCTCTCTCTCTCTCTCTCCCCACCCCCTTTTTCTCCTTCCCTTTTTTAAATTTTTCTGTTTCTTCCATCCAAGTCTATTACAATTACCTAAAGCATAGTTGTATAAAAGTATTCCAGTTATTGCCACATGAGGATATGGGGCTTGAGCAAACTCTGACCGAAAGTCATTGGCAGCTTGGCTTAGAATCTGGTAGTGATACTCTGTGTTTATCCCCAGACTACATAGCCGCATAGTTTTCTATAAAATCACACTCCAAGCAGTAGCAGCTTATTAGTGAGGATTTTGTATTCATGTGTCTTTGTTTGATTTTTCCCCTTTTATGAGTGGCCGACACTCACTCAGCCCTATAAACAGTGAATTTGGCTCTAGACCAAGTTCTAGGGGAATGCACATGTTCTACTTATTACCATGCAGGAGCCAGAGTCTTGATGTCAGTCATCTGCTTCTGGACCTAGACATCTCAGTTTCAGTCTCTCCCCACCATTTTACACTTATGTTTTACTTCTTGACTGGAGAAATATGGATTCTATAGTTGAGCTTGGCTAAGTGATTTTAGGTTTCTTTCTCATTTGTTATCTTTCATTGCAGTCTTCTAAAGTGGAGTTTACAGGTGTCATGCTCACCTGAGCTACTATATCTTAATTGTATGTTAAAATATTAAATAATTCAACTAAATCATTATTAATATTACTTTAAAAAATCTAACGACTTTTTTCAATGTTTAGATCTACATTTTTAACTGGATTAGACTCTGATATACACTGCCTTTGCCAGTGCTAAAGCATATACTGTCCTTTAAAATATATTATTTATTTATTTATTAAATATACACTTTTGAATTAGCTGTTACACTTATTCTACTAAAATTGAAGTGCAGATTATTTTCATAATAATATTGCATTTTGAATCATGACTTTATATTTCTTCCTTCATTGATGTTGGAATTAATAAGCATTTCATATAGTTTCTATACCCATCTGTCTATCTGTCTACCTACCTACCTACCTTTCTATCTATCCATCCATCCATCATCTATTGAAAGAGCATATTATAACTCCATATTGATAACTTGGTGCTCATACTGTTGGATTAAGCCATGGATATTAGGCAAGTTATTTATCTTCTCTTTTCTTTGGGAATCTTAATTTCTTAAATAAGAATCGTAATAGTAGAATGGCTATGAGATAACACCTTAAAAGTATTTAGAACATTCCCTGAAGGAAAATAGGCATTAAATAAAATGTAAATACTATTATTGTTTTCTTAAAATGTAAAATGCTATTGTTATTTTTTTCGTGATGCTAAAATAGTGTTGATAGTTTTGTTTTTAAAATACCAGCAAATTAATTTTTGCATTATTTGCATAAACCAATAATCCTTAAGTATTAACTTTAAAATATTGAAATTAAGCAATTGTTTATTTTTTAATTATGTTACACGATACTAAAGACAACTTTTTAATCAACACTTTGGACTTGTTCTCATTCTCTGTGAGTTTGCTAACAGAGTCTAATACACCGCGGAACTGATTTTCTGGAGCTTGAGTTCAGAAACTAGAGAACTAGGCTTTTGGTTTCGGGGCTGTGTAATTGGGGCTTCCCTTGGAGTATGGTGTAAGAACAGGGAAAGGACCTGGTTTCTGGTACATCTTGTGGTTAGACTGATTTTTGCTACACTGATAGCTGTTGGATATTGGCCCTCCCTAATCCTCACACCCTACTCACAACCCAGCATGCCACTTCATAAAACCTCAAGAGCGCTACTTCCCCTGCAGCATTGGTCATGAGGAATATTTTTTGCTATGCTACTGTAAAGGCTGCAGTACTTATATAATGAATCTGCAGGCAGCAATATTCTTTTCTGAAGTCCAGCCACATCCCAGGAGTTTAAGTGGAAAAGAGAAGCATAATCTATCACTCCTTAGTCTTCTAAGGTTTAGGAAATCATTCTCTATCAGAGTCAACCAGAGCTAAGTTCCTTGATGGGAAAATCCAGTGGGTTCCAAACTTACCTTCACTTTAGAATGAGTTTTACAATTTACTGATGCCCAGGTACCACACAAGGCCAATTAAATGAGTTTAATTTATTTTAAAGTAAACTTAGTAAGCTCCTATGTGACTCTAATGTGCAGCCAGGATTGATAACCACATTTTCTAAATAAAAGCTTCATTCATCAGTTCTCAAGTGTTAGCAGGTGTCAGAAACACCTGTAGGGCTTGACAATACATAGATTATTAGGCCTCACCCTCAGAGTTTCTCATTAAGTAGGACCAGGGTGGGCTCGAGAATGTGTGTTTCCACAGATTCTCAGGTGATACTGATGCAAGTGGTGTTGGGACGGGCCCTGAGGTAGGTTTTCTTCAGTAAAGGCTCTGAAACATGGGAGAGCTGTTAACAAAAGCTGAAGTTGAGGCCAGAGAGAGACAGTAGACAGGAGAGGATGAGAAGAACTTAGGTGAAAAGTCACATTCTGAAGACCCACGGTTCATTACCATCCTGCAGATTTGTTTGGCTTTTAGCTCACATGGCATTTTTAAACAAAACAAACCCATTGTCAACACTTAAAAAATTGGGAGACTATGTGGCCAAATCATGATTATTGACTTCCTTTTAAAAATCAGATTTCCCAGCTTGGGGCATGTATTCCTATAGAAGAGCTGTGAGCTAAAGCTAAGCAGCAAATGCTCATTCACCCCAGGTATGCAGTCTCTTAATTTGAAAGTGTCTCTACTGTCATGCTTCACTTTTCTGTGCCCTTCACCTGACTTCTGCAGGCATTTGAGTTTGAGAACCTTGATTTATATCTTATATTCCAAATTTTTAGCCATATTTCCAAAATGTGTTAGATAGGAAAGTACCTCTCATTCTTTGCTTAATGGGTATAGAGCAGAAAATAATAATACATTTTTAAAAGTTATCAGGTCAAAGTAGAAAATTCTAAAATAGACTGTTAAAAATAAAATAGCCTGTCCAATTTTTAGAGCTGCCAGGGTCTTTGGAGATCATGAATTTCAACCAAATAATTTTGCAGATAAAGATACCAGATTCCAGTTTAATATACTAAATTCTAGAGATGATAAATGACACATCTAATGTCTTGCATCTGGTCCAATATTCATTTTACTATACTCCATTTTGGGGTCAGAAACTCAAATTCTTCAAGCTCCAGGCAGCTAAAGCAGAAGATTAAAGCTGACCACCTAAGTACCAAGGCCAGTGACAAGCACATGTCCAGTCTGGAAGAGGACATGCAGTGTCCATCAACTGGGGCTAAAGGGAAATGGGGGCCTAGAGTTAGGGCAGCGCTGCTAATTTGTTTAAGAAGCTATAAATCTGTCTGTCTTTGTTTTCTAATCACCTGCAAGCCAAACAAAATGAAACAAAACAACCAAAATATTGAAATTGTCTGCAAAAAAGGTGATCATTTGAGTATGTAAATTTGATCATGTCACTTGACCCATTCAAATAAGTCAGTGGATTCCTGCTGTTCTAAAGACCAGTGTCTTTAACAACACTATGAGATTCTAGTGTTTCCACCCAGTTCGAATCCCCTTTTTCCTTCACCTGTCATTTCCAAGCACTAGAAACTTCCCTTAAACAAATTTTACTTCACTCATCGTGGCTCAAGCTCTTTAGATTGGTCATGTCACCATTACATGTCCTTCAGAACTTCTTATTTTTTTTAATGTCTCTCACAATGCTTTGTATATTTAAAGATGCCATTATTTTTATATCCTTCTAAACCTCCAGATCATAGTCTCCATGGGATTCCTGTTCCTGCAAATGTGCCTGGCAAATAATACATGTTCCTAATATAAGCAAGATAAAAGTCACAAAGAGTAAGCAAAGCTGTTTAAGCTTATTACTTTTGGGAGCAGAGTTAAAACGCACTGAGCTAACAATTCTGATAGTTCTGGGACCCGGCATTTGCATGACACTTCCTGGATGTATGAACTTATATACGTTTCTTAAATTCTATAAGGGTTAGTATACTTAAATATGAAATAAGTATAACACTTTTCTTATAGGATTGTTTTGCAAATTATCTTTGGAAGCTATCATACAGAGGACTGATTAGCATTACTCTTTTTGTGATTTAAATAGATGAATATTTGACTCTTCCAGGATTTAAAACATTTATTATAAATTTCAAGTAATTTCTTATACTTGGATCTGCCCAAAACCAGAATGCTAGGTCTCAAGAGATAATGTTTTCTCAGTGTTTGAACATAATCTAGTTGACCACTTATGAAAGAACTTTGGCTGTCAGCTACAAAAGTTAGCCTAGGGCTACTTCTGAGATGCTACATTTTTGTAACCCAGTGAATTAAATTCATTAAGCAAAAATGATTCTCACCATTTTTTTATAGTCATAGCGCCCAATTGATTGACTTTCTTTTGCTATTTTAACTGATTATATTGTGTCCTTTTAAACCCTGCAGCTTTACTTCAATATTCTAACATTCTGCAAGCTGACTTCTATTGAAACATATAAAAAGAAAGTGGTCTACAATTTACACTCTACATTTCAATATTGGTGTCAGGGAATTACTGGCTTTAACCTTAACTCTATTGTTTCATGATCAAATATGATTCTTCAAGTATTGTTTCTTAGCTGCCCAGAGGGAGATTCTTTTTTCTGAGAAGAGAATCTTACACCAAGCTATTAGGATGTGAAACAAAGAAAGTGGCTTAAACTGTTGAGCCTGTCTTTGTATTTTGAATTGATGCCAAGAATTATGGAGCCCAAGAAAAGTATGTTTCAAATTAAGTACCATCATCTTAAGTGCTATTTCTCTATTGCAGTAGTCTCCCCTTACCTGTGGTTTCTTTTTCTCAAGTTTCTGTTATCCATAGTCAACTGCTGTCGAAAAATATTGAATGGAAAATTCCAGAAACAACTCGTAAGTTTTAAATTCCACACCATTTTGAGTAGTATAATGAAATCTTGTGCTGTCTCACTTTCTGTGACTTGAATTATCCCTTTGTCCAGCATATATATTTTGTATATGCTCCCTGCTAGTTACTTAGTAGCCTTCTAGGTTTTCAGATCAGCTATGGTGATATCACAGTATTTGTGTTCAAGTAACTTTCATTTTTCCTTTATAAGGGTTCCAAAGTACAAAAGTAGTGATGCTGGCATATTGTTAAAATTGTACTATTTTATTTTAGTTATTGTTAATCTCTTACTATGCCTAGTTTACAAGTTAAGCTTTATCATAGGTTATGTATGTATAGGAAAATCACAGTGTGTATAGGGTTCTGTACTACCTTCAGTTTCAAGCATTCACTGGGGGTCTTAGGACATATATTCCTCAAATTAGAGAGAACTACTGTACTTATTACTGAAAAATTTTGAAAACTTGTGCTAGGCCTGGTGCTTGAGAAGCTCCTAGACTAGAAAGCCCCTGTAATTATGCAAACTCAAGATTGTGGATGGTTCTAGAACTCTTGATGTTAGAAATTTCAAATCTGGATGTTACACAGAAGTGAGATATCAGAGTAGACAGTTATTGGTTAAAATATTGTTTAAATGGCCTCCTGGGATGGTAATGTTAGTGGCAGCAAATTCGTACTGGTCTGCAACAACTTCATTTCTTGCCTCCTCAGAAGAAAGCATTTGACTGAGGGGCATTAGGCAGAGTGAAAGACCGAGGCATGTTTTAGAGCAGGAGTGAACGTTTATTAAAAAGTTTTAAGGCAAAAATGAAAGGAAATAGCACATACTTGGACGAGGGCCAAGCAGGCGACTTGAGAGAGTTGAGGGTACGGTTTGACCTCTGACTTGAGGTATTATATGTTGGCAGCCTTCTGGGGTATTGCATCCCTTCTCCCCTGAATCTTCCCTTGGGGTGGGCTGTCCATATCCACAGTGACCTGCCAGCACCTGGGAGCGGCCACATGTGCAGTGTGTTTACTGAAATTGTATGCATGCTTTCTTGAGGCATTCTTCCCTTACCAGTCAAGCGTTCCTGTAAGGACATACACCAGTTAAAATCAGCCATTTTGCCTCTTAGTGTACATGCTTGAGCCCACTCACCAAACTCCTGAAATCTTATCGGGAAGCTGCTAATCACCAGTTTTGGGTGTTTCTATCCATTGGGAGACTGCCTTTCCCTGGTGCCAGCTGCAACCAATTATTTTAGAGAGACAGTCAACAACTAACGGCGCATCACCTAATGGTCACCTGACATTCCTGGTGGTAGTAGGGGGCCTCTCTGGCCCTGCTCATGTCTGTCTGACTAGCTACTGTAACAGTAAGATATAAATGCCTGAGGGCATCATGGATCAGGAAATAAATCTACTTTGCCAGTAATTATTGGTATTCCATAGCTATGAGACTGAGATTAGATGTGTTTCATGACCGGGCACAGTGGCTCACGCCTGTAATCCCAGCACTTTGGGAGGCCGAGGCAGGTGGATCATCTGAGGTCAGGAGTTCAAGACCAGCCTGGCCAACATGGTGAATCCTCATCTCTACTAAAAATACAAAAATAAAATATAATACTAACAATAAGAATTAGCTGGCTGTTGTGGTGGGTGCCTATAATCCCAGCTACTCCAGAGGCTGAGGTAGGAGAATCGCTCAAACCTGGGAGTGGAGGTTGCAGTGAGCCAAGATCGTGCCATTGCACTCCAGCCTTGGCAACAAGAATGAAACTCCATCTCGAAAAAAAAAAAAAAAAAAAGAAGTGTCTCATAAGGATGATTATTAACTGATATGGCACAAATAATACAAAGGAAAGTTAGCCTGGTGTAATTCGGTCTGGGCTCTTACCTGTTTGTTGTCTGTTGTCTTCATTATGACCATGATTCTCTTCCACTAATGCTAGCAGAAGGCCTTTACATCTGTTCGCATACCACCTGGAAAGGATTAGCTCACCTCCCTACAACAGTTGAAGGAAAGCACCCGTTCATTCTGATTTGATGAACCAGATCCAAACACCATGACCAGATAATACCTGGCTTCCAATTGTGCAAGTCCTGATATATCTTTTAGCTAAGCTGTGTAGTTTTATTCCTACGTTCAAAAGTTTGGGGCTTCCTCTTTACTCTCCTCTTCTTCACTGTCTCCTGTCTCCCTTTTTATCCTTCCCTTTTCTTCTCTTACTGGTCTCCTGTTTACCCCTTCCTTTCTCCCCTCTTGCCTCTCCCATTTCCACCTTTCCTCCGTTTTTCTCTCCTCTCCCCCCACTTTTCTTACCAGTGTTTAGTATTTCCCCTCTTGCACCACCCTTTTCTAATATTCTGTTTCCTCTTTCCTTCCCTAGGTCTCTCATCTCCCTGGCCGTCCCCCCATCAACCAGTGTGTGGTTCTGTCCTTACCCCTCACCTTCCCTAGAAAGGGCAGCATGGCTGTAATCTGAATTTGCTGGGCCCTCCGCACTCTTTATTCTTGTTTTCTGAAGGCCTGATCAAATTCACGTGACGTCCCCACAGAGTTATGTGCCTCCTATCTGTGTGCCTCCTGGATACTTCCCACAGGTTAGTGTAGACAATGGTGTCCAAAGAGTTGTGGTTGCTCAGGCACCAGAGTTTCACCCTAGTGGTCACATAGGAATCTACCCTTCTCCACATTCTTCTCTGTCTAGTTTCATTCCTGTCCCAACCATGATGCCCGCTCCACCAAGCCATGTATACTCACCAGTGACTGGAGCTAGAGGCACACAATATATGACAGCTACAGTATCAGTCTTCACAAGTATAGGGAGATGTAGATTCTTATTCTATACATGGAAGGTCCTAGCACTAAAAAGAACAAAATGATTCTGGTGACGTTTGTGGTAATTCATGGATACTTTAATCATTTGTTTCTATAACAAATATATTTGCTTTAAAAATATTTTATTGAAATATTTTATAGATAAAACTGGCTTGTCGTCATAAGAATTATAAGAATCAGTGAATATGAATAAAGTATACCTAACTGTGCAACAAAATAGCCAGACAAAGAAATAGAATACTCCCAGGAAAATGGAAGCATCTACTCATGTGGCTTCTCCAATGACTGCCCTCAAATACGTTAACATTATCCTGAGTTTTAATACAGTCTTTTGCCTGTTTTTGAATTCTATGTCAATGGAAACAGATAATACATATGTTTTTGTTTTCCAGCTTTTTTGTGCATTATATTTGACAGTCAACCATCATAGTTTCAGGTGCTTTTTTTTTTAATTTTAAAAATAAATGTTTAATTTTCTATTTGTTTTGTTGAACTTCATGATTTATGCATTTTAGGTTTCAGTATACTATGGGTTTTTTTTTTTTGCATGTTTGTTTGTATTTTATTGTCTCTAATTTGTACTATTTTACATGTTTTTTCCTATAGTGTCTCGGAAAATATGCATCATTTTATAATTTTATAATTTTGTGATTCCTTATCTAAATCTATTTCTTCTAATTATCAATGTTGAAAATAGGAGATATTAATTTTAAAACCTCCCCATAAAGAATGTGAGGAAATGATAATAATTTACTGATTTCTATTAGTAACATGTGCTGGCTTATACTGCAGTTTTATGCCCAGCTTTTTATTTCAAATTATTATTAATTTAAAAAATAGTTACTGATGACATTTATAATCTTTTTACATTTTCTGTAATTTTGGCAGAAACTGGGCTATTTTTTACAAAACTTTTTCTCTTACCTAATATGCACAGAGGTAGGTTTCATTTTTCAATATAGGTGGAATAGTGTGAGTTACTGCTAATAGCGTGCAGGTCCATATGATAAATGCATTTCAAGCATAACCAATAAAAACTTTGTTTGATTTGTCAACCTTAGTCTTTCTTGCATGGTCCAGCAGGACACAAATGGGCTTACAGAAGATTTCAAGGCTCTAAGAGATGAAGAAGTCACAAGATAGAATGTTGCTCACAGGTCACTGGCCTCGCCCTATTTGTGAGCCAGAAGCAAACTTGTATTATGCCACTAAAATTTGGTTCCCCACCCTGATCACACTGGTAGCCTACTCTAATTCAATAACCTTATTAAAACAATTACTTAAAATTAAGTATATCCCTCAAAGGTTTCAGTGCTTACCAACCATCTTCTTAAACCATGGTCCCTTTGATTTGAAATTTTAAATTATGCTTTAACTTTGTGTTAAGTTAGAAACTGTTTTGACCAGTATTTATTATTATTTATAATTGAGCTATAAATTTAACTCTTTTGAAAACCTTAAAATGTGCTTATACCTAAGTGTAATTTGGTTATATTTATCTGTTGGTGATAATTTTTATACATATAAACTATCAAATTTTCTTCAGTGTAAGTGCTTCTGCTTTTTTTGGAAAAGAATCCTCTGGTTTTCACACAAGATAAAATGCACCCAGGAATTCAGGAAGCAGTCGGGAGAGAAGTTAGATTAAAGTGGGGAGACAACTAGCATAGTGATGAAACAGCCCAGCCATGAGTGAACTTGCACACTGTTATGTCACTCCATTCCTGACTAGGCCTGCCCAAACCTTGAGGATTCTAGAGAAAATGCTGAATCCCATCACACCACTGCTACATTTCTGTGGTATTTCACAGGGCTTTTGCAATCTTTTGTTTTGCTACAAGTTTATTGAAATGTCTTGTGTACTCATGTGGTCTATAAACTTCAGATCTTTTTATTAAAAAGTAAATGTAGTCATTTAATTTAATTTTATTGCAATTTTATGAAGAAGGGAAAAGTACTTGCCTTTTCTTGAACTGGAAGCCTTCATGCTATTCTTAGCCTGTGTAAGTAGTTTTAATTAATTAATCAATTAATTTAGAGACAGGATCTTGCTCTGCCACCCAGGCTGGATTGCAGTGGGGCAATCATGGCTGACTGCAGCCTCAACCTCCCAGGCTCAGGCAATCCTACCACCTCAGCCTCCCAAGTAGCCAGGCACTATAGGCACATGTCACCACATCCAGCTAATTAAAATTTTTTTTTTTTTTGTACAGACAGGATGATATGGTTTGGATTTGTGTCCCCACCCAAATGTCATGTCAATTTGGAGGAGGGGCTTGTGGGAGGTAATTGGTTCATGGGGATAGATTTCCCCCTTGCTGTTCTCTTGATAGTGAGTGAGTTCTCATGATATTCAATAATTTAAAAGTGTGTGGCACTTCCTTCTTTTTCATTCTCTCTTTTTACTGCTCTACCATGGTAAGAGGTGCTAGCTTGCCCTTCACCTTCCACCATGATCGTAAGTTTCCTGAGGTCTCCCAAACATGCTTCCTGTTATACCCGAGGAACTGTAAGTCAATTAAATCTCTTTCCTTAATAAATTGCACAGTCTTTTTTATAGCAGTGGTATAATTTTTATAGTTTTTTATAGCAGTGTGAAAATGGACTAATACAGAAAATTGGTACCAGAAGAGTGGGGCACTGCTATACAGATACCTGAAAATGTGGAAGCAGCTTTGGAACTGGGCAATAGGCAAAGGTTGGAACAGTTTGGAAGGCTCAGAAGAAGACAGGAAGACGTGGAAAAGTTTGGAACTTCATGGAAACTTGTTGAATGGTTGTGACAAAAATGCTGATAGTGATATGAACAGTGAATTCCATGCTGAAGAGGTATCAGAGGGAGATGAGGAACTTACTGGGAACTGGAACAAAGGTCACTCTTATTTTGCTTTAGCAAAGACACTGGTGGCATTTTGCTCCTGCTCTAGAGATCTGTGGAACTTTGAACTTGAGATTTTGAGTATCTAATGGAAGAAATTTCTAAGCAGCAAAACATTGAAGAGGTGGCCTTGCTGCTCCTAAAAGTCTACGCTCATTTGCATAAACAAAGAGAACTTATATTTAAAAAGGAAGCAGAGCATAAAAAGTTTGGAAAATTTGCAACCCAGCTATGCAGTAGTAAAGGAAACCCATTTTCTCCGGAGAAATTCTAGCCAGCTGCAGAAGTTTGCCTAAGTAAGGAGGAGCCGAATGTTAATAACCAAGACAATGGGGAAAATGCCTCCAGCACATATCAGAGACCCTTGCATCAGCCCCTCCCATCACAGGCCCAGAGACCTAGGAGGGAAAAATGGTTTCCTGGGATAGGCCTAGGGCACTGCTGCTCTCTGCAGCCTTGGGACATGGTGCCCTGTGTCCCAGCTGCTCCACTTCCAGCCATGGCTAAAAGAGGGCAAGGTACAGCTTGGGCCATTGCTTCAGAGGGTGCAAACCCCAAACCTTGGTGGCTTCCACAAAGTGTTGGGCTTTCAAGTGCACAGAAGGCAAGAGTTGAAGTTTAGGAAACTCTGCTAGATTTCAGAGGATGTATGAAAATTCCTGGATATCCAGGCAGAAATCTGCTGCAGGGGCAGAGCCCCCATGCAGAACCTCTACCAGGTCAGGGTAGGGGGAAATGTGGGCTGGGAGCCCACACACAGTCTCCACTGGGGCACTGCCACATGAAGCTGTGAGAAGGGGGCCTCCCTCTTTCAGACCTCAGAATGGTAGATCCACAGACAGCTTGCACAATGTGCTGAAAGAGCTGTAGGCACTCAATGCCAGCCCATGAGAGCAGCCACAGGGGCTGAACCCTGCAAAGCCATAGGGGCGGAGCTGCCCAAGGCCTTGAGAACCCACCCCTAGCATCAGTGTGCCCTGGATATGACACATTGAGTCAAAGGTGATTATTTTGGAGCTTTAAGATTAAATGACTGCCCACTTGGTTTTGGAATTGTGTGGAGCCTGTAGCTTCTTTGTTTTGGCCAATTTCTTTCATTTGGAGTGGGAATATTTACCCAATGCCTGTACCCCCATTGTATTTTGGAAGTACCTAACTTTTTTTGATTTTACAGGTTCATAGGTGAAAGGGACTTACCTTGTCTCAGATGAGACTTTTGACTGTGGACTTTTAAGTTAAGGCTGAAATGCATTAAGACTGAGGTATTATTGAGAAGAGATAATTGTATTTTGCAGTTTGAGAAGGACAGGAGATTTGGGAGGGGCCGGGGCAGAATGATATGATTTGGATTTGTGTCCCTGCCCAAATCCCTTGTCAAATAAGCGGGGGACCTTGGTGGGAGGTGATTGGATCATGATGGCAGATTTTCCCCTTGCTGTTCTTGTGATAGTGGCTGAGTTTTCATGAGTTATGATGGTTTCAAAGTGTGTAGCATGTTCCTCTTCACTCTCTCTCTTTTGGTCTGCCATGGTAAGACATGCTTGCTTCCCCTTCTCTGTCCACTATGATTGTAAGTTTCCTGAGGCTTCCCAGTCATGCTTCCTGTTAAGCCTGCAGAATTCTGCATCAATTTAACCTCTTTTATTCATAAATTGCCCAGTCTCAGGTAGTTCTTTATAGAAGTGTGAGAATGGACTAATACACAGGGTCTCACTGAGTTACCCATATTGGTCTCAAACTCCTGGGCTCAAGCTGTCCTCCTGCCTCAGCCTCTCAAATTACTAGGATTAAAGGCATGAGCCACTGCACCTGGCTTATTTAATTACTTATTTATTTGATTTTATTTTACTTCTCTTATTTGCTTCCTAGTTAATATATTTTTACAAAATGTAAAGGTTTATTGTAGTAGAATTTACAAACAACATGATGTTTTGATATACCTGTATATTGTGAAATGATTATCACTATCAAGCTAATTAACTTTTTTTGCCACATCCCTATTACCAACCGTTCTGTGTGGGAAACGCATGAGAGGAGAAGAAAAGACACACACACAGTATCTTTAAGGGGAAAACAACCTTTATCCCATGTAAATGGAAATGCAGTATAATAAGCAAATGATATAATAATAAGCAAATGATATAAAAAGGAAATTGACATAATAAGCAGATTGAACATAATAAGTAAATTTCAATGGGAATCGAAGAAGGGAAAAGATATTTACACTCAGCAGGCTATGATGGATTCACCACCAGACTGGGAAGCAACAGCCTGGGCTCCAGAGTCGGACACTGCACTCACCAGGCTATGGAGGATTCACCATCAGACCCGGAAGCAATGGCCTGGGCTCCAGACTCAGCCACTTATCCATGCACAGATGGGGAGAGGTCTCAGGAAGCTTCAGCGCAGTCTGGGACCCTAGCTCTTTTTGTAACAAGTTGTTTGGTATGAAGTCCAGTCACAAGGGCCCTTCATGACTGTGCTCAAGGAACACAAAAAAGGTCAACTTGTTTTTATGATTGTCTATTGTTTTTTAATAACTACCATATAGGAAGAGATTGAAATAGAGGTTTCTCCAAAACAGTGCTGGATGAAAGCCTCAAGGGGCTCATACAACCTGTTCCAGGACTTGGTGACCATTGTTTGTGTCCATGTTCAATTGAGTTTGAATTTAATTTTTAACTTTTCCTCTACACTTGGCCTCAATTTGATACTCAATTGTAGGAAAATACCCTTAGAGATACACGGGGAAGTCATAGTTGCTATAGGTTACAGATACAGGGTAAGCAGAGGAGAATTAAAACCACAATTAATAAAAACCACACCACCACGGCTTCTCAAGGAGAGTAATATTGTGAGAATTGTCAGGGATATACACATAACATTAAGTATGCAGTAAGGCATAAACCCCTCCTTGGGCTGTGGTAAGCATATCTAATGTCATTCGATTTTCCAACACAACAGTACTCAGCTGAGCAAATTCATCTGATAACAACACAAGTCCAGTGCTACTATCGTTAAGAGCTTTTTCTACATGTAAGCTTAATATTTTAACTTGTTGCTGAGGCAGGATTATACCGGTGGCAGGGGTGAATACTGTGATAGGGTACCACCACCAGGGAGTCCGGCACATTTATTACCAGTGATGTTTGTAAGCATTTAGATTACTGGGGAGGGGAATATCATCCCAGATGGTGAATAGAATTAATGGCCACCCTCAAGTGCATCTCCCCATCCAATGTGGGGATAGGTATCACTCTCCAGAGGACCCACATACCCTAAGGGCTCCCAGGGGACAGCAATGGTTTGACTATAATTGTACTGTTGCAATATGTTATTTAAGTAACAAAGATGCTGTGTTTCTTTGGGCTTGGGCAAAAATAGACTGTTTGGTTTGGTTAAAAGAAGTCCAGGTTGTACTACAGGTGCTATCCTCCTGACCCCATTGGTAGTGACATAGCCACTCGGAAATGTTGGCAGAGATAATTTTCCAAGGTAATTCATTCCCTGCAGCTGGCAACTTGGCACATAGCCAGCACTGACTGTGGTTGGCTTGTGTTGCAGTGGTGGCTACCCAGGGGATGAACTCATTCCCAGCCTCAGACATGATGACTCAAGTACTGATTACTAGCAGATAGGTTATTCTCTGTAATAACAAAAGCGGAGGGGAACATGATATCATTTTTCATCTTTAGGAAATTGTACTCTGCCTTCATTTTCTGCTCCCATAGCTACAAGGTCACCAGCCTTAGGGATGGGATCTGATGGACACTGGACCCATATTTTGGCACCAGGATTTAAGTTGCCCACTCTGGTGGACCTGAATTCTCCAGTTCTATATGTTGTTTCTATTGGGGGCAGAAATTTCCTTGGGGGTTAATTGTTGGCAAGGTACCACTAACAATTAAGCAACCTGCATCTGCGGTTTTATAGCAAAAGACTCTGGAGCGATATTGTATAAAATGATTTCTAACTCTCCCTGGTAATTACTAACAGTTATACCACCATACATTATAATGCCTGCCATTGCAAGGCTTGAACGTGTTGTAATCCATCCACATTTAAGTTTGCTGTTATGGTGGAAATTTTGGCCTGTTGATCTGCCTGCTGATTAAATAGTCTGTCAAGAGAAAAAAGAGGTGCATGAGCATCAACATAGAAAACAGTGATAATGGTAGTGTGCGCTAGGATTAGGATATCTTCCCAGTATTGTTTTCCCCAAACCTCTTTATTCCCAATTAACCATTTGTTTTGTTGCCATTGGGGCATCCAGGTAGTAAGACCATTTGCTACTGACCAAGAGTTGGTATTCAAGTGACAAATCCCTTGGCCTCCTCCTGAATAGCTTGGATGGTGGCTTCTAGTTCAGCCAGCTGGCTGCTCCCACCCCTTCCTTCATTCTTTCATCAGAAATGCTTATGTTTTTAACAGGATTGCAAGCTACAGACTTCCAGCATCGGGTCCCATCAATATATCTGGCAGATTCATCAGTAAACCAAGCATGTGTCTGATCCTCTGGGCTTAGTTCTTATAAAGGATTTGCCCCATTGGGCAAGGGAGGTTTCCTTCCCTATCTGCAGGACTGGAAAGTTTTGAACATTCTCATGTAAAAGTGATACCCCCTTTGGTTTTGGCTTAGCCTGGTCTTGAATATACTATTTCCATTTTATGATGCTACTTTCTTGGGTCTGCCCTATCCAGTGAGTTTTGAGGGAACTCATGAGCCAAATCATAACAGGAATTTTAGGCCTCATAAAGACATCATGGTTGAGGCAGAGGTGCTCTGTTTCCAGCAAAGCTCAACAGCAAGCTGACAGTTGCTTTTTGAAAGGTGTGTAAGCTTTGCTGGCCTCTGGCAGCTCCCGGATGCATAGCCACAAAGGTACACTCTTCCCATCTTGTTTTTGCCAAAGGCTTCAATTAGCATGTTGATCTAGGACAGTTACTTGCAGTTTTACTCACCCATCCTGTATGAGTCATAGATTTAGGGCCAGTTGCACTGGTTGTTTAGCTTGTTCAAAAACCATGCTGTCTTTCTGTCCCCAGTGAAAGTCATAGCGTTTTCTAGCGTCTTCATGCAGATGTTGTAAAATGTTACCCACGTGAGGAATATGATGCTTCCATAATCCAAACAAGCCAATAAATTTCTGAGCCTCCTTCTTAGTGATAGCGGTTGCAAATTCTAGTATTTTAGCTATAGCCTTTGGTAAAATGGACTATTTCCCTTATTCCATAGGATGCCAAGGAATTTTATAGTTTGTGCAGGTCCTTGAATTTTACTAGGATTAATTTCCCATAGTTGAGATAGGAGCTGGGTTTTTACCTGCTACAAACCACGTTTGACTAGTTCTTCAGTTTTAGCCTGACCCAGGCCACTCAGACAGCCGCTTTTTTCAGCAATAGGCTGATAGCTTTGAGCCTGATCAGTCAAGGCATAGGCCTGGCATTGGGCCAGGGCCAGTCTGGAAGTCAGATTAGCATTTTTCTTTTCCAGCTTACATTTCTTCTGTAGCAACCAGTCCCTATCTTGACACATAAACTTACAAGCAGTAAGCAAGCACCATCCATGCCGGGAAATTCCCTCAGCGTCCCCTTTACCATCTGGGTTACATGCAGCACCTCACACAAAGCCAATGGTTCAAAATGCACTAATTTAGATTCCCAATTTTCATAAAGGCCAGTTACCCTGGACTATTCAATTGCCAAGGAGGAGAACTGGGGGAGTTCCCATCCCGGGACATGGGATGTCCAGCCCTGTCCTTGTGTCCAAAAAGTGGCATACTTTCCTTTTCGAATCCTGTTCGTGACGCCAAAAATGTTCTGTGCGGGAAACGCATGAGGGGAGAAGAAAAGACACACACACAGTACCTTTAAGGGTAAACAGCCTTTATCCCATGTATATGGCAATGCAGATATAATAAGCAAATGATATAATAATAAGCAAATGATATAAGCAGATTGATATAATAAGCAAATTGCAATGGGAAGGGGAGAAGGGAAAAGATATTTACACTCACCAGACTATGGAGGATTCACCACCAGACTGGAAATCAACAGCCTGGGCTCCAGAGTCAGACACTGCACTCACTAGACTATGGAGGATTCACCACCAGACCAGGAACCAACTGCCTGGCCTCCAGAGTTGGCCACTCGTCTGTGCACAGAGGAGGAGAGGTCTCATGAGGCTTCGGTGCAGTCTGGGACCCTAGCTCTTCTTGTACAGAGTTGTTTCGCATGAGGTCCAGTCACAAGGGCCCTTCATGACTGGGCTCAAGGAACACAAAAAGGTCAATTTGTTTTTGTGATTGTCTATTTTTTTTAATAGCTAACCTATAGGAATAGATGGAAATAGAAATTTCTCTGAAACAGTGCTGGATGAAAGAAAGCCTCAAGGGGCTCATACAACCTGTCCCAGGACTTGGTGACTATTATCTGTGTCCATGTTCAACTGAGTTCAAATTTAAAATTATATTTCCTCCACACCAAGAGAAGAATTTAATGGTTTTTAGAAGCAGATTCCACTGACCTTTTCTTTTTTCTTTCCCGGTTTTTTTAAAAACTTGGTCTTACTGAATAGTAAAGAAATTCGAAGACCTAAATCAAATATAATTTTTAACTTTAAAAATACTTTTGTATTTCTTTGTTTTTAAGCAATTTTTAAAATTTCCAATCATCTCTTAAATGCTCTTTTGATTGCTAGTCTCTTATTTAACATGGGAATAACATTCAAGGATTGTACTTAGTTGATTTATTTTTGAGCATTTGCATTTAACAACTTTTTGTTTACCTTTCTCTAATAACTAAAGTTTGCTTGGTGCTAAACTCTGAGGATGTATTATATTTTTTCCCCTTCAAATCTCTACAGTTAATATCCCTTTGTAATCTACATTGGACAAGGTTAACACCAGTGCCATTTTTCTTCTTCTGCAGGTTAGTGAGTCATTATTTATCATCATTATAAGCATCTTACATTTCCGCCTTAATATAGCTAGATGGACATCCTTTTCATTAGTTCAGTCTAAGACTCAGTGAGCTTTTTTATGCCTCTTAAAAAATCAGTTTTGTGCCTTTTCTATCTGCAAATTTTTTACTTTTCTATGATTCTCCTTTTCTCATGTTGATTCAAATTAATTTCACGAAGGCTATAGCCTCATGATTTTCCTTGAGAGTACAAATCAGATATTCTCTAAAGTTTTCTTCTAAATGTTCATGCAAATACACTTTTAAAGAGGAAATTATTCTGAGTCTTCATACATTAGGTGTTCTCTCCCAGCATTGAGAAATTTTCCCTAGTCTATTTATACTCACTGCGGAGGTATGTTTGTTTAGGATTGATTTACAAAGCTTTAGCAATGGACATGGGTATTGTAAAAAACCACTAGATCCTTTCCAAAGAATTTCACAGTAGGTCACAGATTTAGGTTCTGAATATCTGTTGTTTTTGTACTATAGAGGGATTAGAAGTATTAGAAAGTGCCCAAGAATAGAGTTTATGGTGTGATTGTTTTTCTGCCAATCTGATGCTAATGTTATGCCATTACCAGAAGTGCTTGCAGGTTTGCTATTCGGGTGTTTTTTTATATGAAGATTTTGATGCCAACTCCAAGTTTAAAAATATGTATTAAATTTTAAATTTAATTTTTTATGTTTATAGATTTAGCGGTACAATGCAGTTGTATTATGTGGATATACTGCATACTGTTGAAGTCTGAGCTTTATTGCACCCATCACCAAGATAGTGTACATTGTACACAGCATGTAGTATTTCATCCCTCCTTCCCTTCCCACCCTCTGTGCTTTTGGAATCTCCAATGTCTATTATTCCATTCCTTATGTCCATGTGTACCCATTGTTTAACTCTCACTTATAAGTGAAAACATGTGAGCAGTTTTTGACTTTCTGTTTCTGAGTCATTTCAGTAAAGATTATGACCTCTAATTCCATTCCTGTTTGGGCAAAAGCTGTTATTTATTATTTTTTATGTCTGAGTAGTATTCCATTGTGTGTGTGTGTGTGTGTGTGTGTGTACATACGTGTGTGTGTATATATATGACTTTTTAAATTTAATATATATAGTGTATATATAGTATATATATGTGTGTATGTGTGTATATATATATGACTTTTTAAATTTAATTGTCAATTGGTAGACATTTTGGTTGATTCCGTATCTTTGCTATTGTGAATGGTGTTGCAGTAAACAAACCAGTGCAGGTGTCTTTTTGAAAAAAATGATTTATTTTCCTTTGAGTAGATACACAGTAGTAGGATTGCTGGATCAAATGATAATTCCATTTTTAGTACATTGACAAATCTCTATACTGTTTTCCATAGAGGTACTACTAATTTACATTTCCAACAGTGTATAAGCATTCCCTTTACTCTGCATCTTAACCAACATCTGTTGTTTACTGGTATAAGATGGTCTTGAATTGTGGCTTCAATTTGCATTTCTCTGATAATTAGTGAATTTGAGCATATTTTCATGTTTGTCAGCCACTTAAATGCCATCTTTTGAAAGTTTCTGCTTGTGCTCTTTCCCACATTTTAATGGAAGTATTTGTGCCTTTTCTTTCTTGTGTGGTTGTTGAGTTGTTTGATTTTTGTAGATTTGCGATATTAACTTTTTTTTGGATGCATTGTTTACAAAGATTTTCTCCCATTTCCTAGGCTCTCTGTTTACTCTGCTGATTATTTCTTTTGCTGTACAGAAGCTTTTTAGTATACTTTTAAATCTATATATATTTCCATATATATTTTCACAAAAAGATGTATGGTGGTTATTTTAGTAAATGTGCTGGAGGAAACTAAGAGCAGCATCCAAATGTCCATAAATATGTGCTCATCTTGCCTGGAAATCATGTTTTTAAAAATTTTAATTAAAGATATTAGGTTATGACAGAGAGATCATAGTAATTATTAGCACAGCCCTGAGCAAGGTGATGGAAGACATTTACCTAGAAATAACCTGGTGAAAAAAAAAACATAACTCTGAATAATTTTTGATTATACAGGCTGAATTAATGAGAAATTTTATTCATTTATAATGCGAGTCTGCATATATTTCTTATGTTAAAAAAGGCCACGCAAATTCAAAATTTTGAATTGATAGGATCCAAGTTAATTTCAATAGTAGGATAATATGTGGGTTACCAGCTGTAGAACAATGGCAAATAAAGGCTATTAATGTTTGGAAATTTTCAAATAAACAAATTTAAAAATGTAAAAACATACAATGAATATACTAAATAGAGGAGAGCTGCTTTTCACTGTTTAATGGCAGAGTTTTCTAATTTGTTTGTATTATTTAGGGCCTAATAAAAATTCTTATACATGCATATGAATTGTTATTATATTTAATAAGGTCAGCAATGAAAATAGAATCAGAAAAATCATGTAGTTCGGTATCAGTTTTTGATTGGAAATTTTGTGGCATCATTTTCCAGCTGTGTGGTCATGGCCAACATCACATAGTGCCTGTGAATACAGTCTTCTTCTTTGTGAAATGTGGAATCAGAGCCTACTTCATTGATTTTGTGAGACTGGGGAAAATGCATGCCGGTGTGGTAGAACAGCTGAAAGAAATGCTCAGTAGTTGGCAGCCATAAATGCCACTAATACTTTGTAACAACGTGTTTCCTTGAAAATAGAAAGAAAAATAGATTTTTTCTAAAATAATAATTACAAGTTGAAGCATACTTTTATTATACTTTTGGTTTAGAACATGTCAAAACTGCAGAAAAGTAATTTCATGCAAAACACATTGATAGGAAAAAAAAGAAATATATTGGCAGTATCTTCAAGTGATTTGTCCTGACTTTAAAAGTTTCATGTTAGCCTAGGCTGTCACTTTGGAATACAGGACTCATTTTAATATTTGTCATTCTGTCAGTGCTTCAGAATACATTTATGCTCTGAAAATAGATATTTCATTTCTATTTTGTTGAAGTTAGAAATTATATTTTCAAAACCTGTGAACATAAGGTTCTATCCTGGCATACGCATTACACAACATCTAACTTGTATGTGATATTTCAGTGACAACATACTGAAAAATATTTGCTAGCAATCATTCTGCAGTGTTCAGAATAATGTGATTTTTAAAGTTCAGACAGTTGTATTATTTGTAGATCACACTTCCATTTAAAAAATGCTTGAAAAAATGATAGCTATGTGGCAATAACAGAACTGTAAAAGAAAAGAGTTGGATTGTTTGGTCGGAGAAATACATTTTAAAAGGTACTTCATTTTTTTTCCACAGTATTTTTCAAATGAGGGAAAATAAATTAAATGCCAATTCTTAGTGCCAATGAATTCCTCAATGAATGGCACAGTGATTATGTTGTCTACACACACCCGTACAAGTCACTTGTGAAATAAAGGAAATGAGTATGTTATGAAAATGTAAAAAATTCAATTTACTCTTCTGTCTCATGAAGTTAAGGTCGACAGAATTAAGCTAGAGGGAAAGATGGAGAGGCAACTCTTGTGAAAGAGAGATAAAGGGAAGGAGAACAATATCAAAAAGCATTTAGCTTTGATTATCTTGCATAACTCTAAAATATTCATTAAGGGTCTGGGGAAATATTGTCCAAAGTGGCTAATAAGGATTATTTCATAGAGTATGCACTGAGGGATATAGTCTTCCATCTTTTCTAGCATTGTATTACAGCTAGGGATATTCTGGACCTAAATTACTTTTGCAGTCCTGTCTTTCCTACAATGAGGATAGCGACTTGACCTTTGGTCATTGGTTCTTAGCTTCCCAACACCTATGTTAACATGAGGTTTCCACTAAACCAAGAACACTGCTGAATGATATAAAATCACACTCCCTACTCACCTCACCTGCCATTCCTGCCCCATGACCCTTTTGCTGCTGTTTCCAAAAAACATGCAAGCAGACCCTTTGTATTTTGTGAATTTCACTAATAGAGAAATATGAAATTTCTTAAAAATGAGGAATCTAAATTCTTTATAAAGCATGGATAGTTCTTACCATGATCGTGTCAATTTTAGAGTTCCTGTTTATTAGTAGATTTTAATAATTTTACTTAACATAAGTAGTTAAATTGCTTTCTTAATAATGTGGACAAAATTCCTAGATATTTGGTTTTTTTTCCCTATTAACTTTAGCATCATATAATCACCCCTAAACCAAATAAATCTGAATGAATAAATCTGCCTCTAATTTTGAATTAAGGTACATTTGTTTCTTGAAATCTTTTTGTAAAATTTTAGGACATAGAAGGCTCATTGAATTGGATTATATTTTAGATTTAAGAATATAATACTTTAAAAAGAAACTGTATTAGAATTTATTTTTTAATGAAAAAAAGAAGAAACCGTCAAAAAAATGCAAATCAAAACCACTATGAGATACCATCTCACACCGATTAGAATGGCAATCATTAAAAAGTCAGGAAACAACAAGTGCTGGAGAGGATGTGGACAAATAGGAACACTTTTACTCTGTTGGTGAGACTGTAAACTAGTTCAACCATTGTGGAAGACAGTGTGGCAATTCCTCAAGGATCTAGAACTAGAAATACCATTTGACCCAGCAATCCCATTACTGGGTAAATACCCAAAGGACTATAAATCATGCTGCTATAAAGACACATGCACACGTATGTTTATTGCGGCACTATTCACAATAGCTAAGACTTGGAACCAACCCAAATGTCCATCAGTGATAGACTGGATTGAGAAAATGTGGCAAATATACACTATGGAATACTATGCAGCCATAAAAAAAGGATGAGTTCATGTCCTTTGTAGGGACATGGATGAAGCTGGAAACCATCATTCTCAGCAGACTATCACAAGGACAAAACACCAAACACCGCATGTTCTCACTCATAGGTGGGAATTGAACAATGAGAGCACTTGGACACAGGAAGGGGAACATCACACACTGGGGCCTGTCATGGGGTGGGGGGAGCAGGGAGGGATAGCATTAGGAGATATACCTAATGTAAATGGCAAGTTAATGGGTGCAGCACACCAACATGGAGCATGTATACATATGTAACAAACCTGCACGTTGTGCACATGTACCCTAGAACTTAAAGTATAATAATAAAAAAAAAATTAAAGAAAAAAAAAAAGAAGAAACCAGCCAGAGGTCTTCCTTCCAAAACATACCTGTTTTTTTAATAGTTGTTTTTTCTTTTTTTCATTTTATTTTTGTATTGTTTTACTCTACTTTGGTCCCCCTTCCACCAATTTTCCAAAGGAATGCAAGTGTCTGTTCCTTCCTTTAGGACTTACTCAGGCTTATTCAGCAGCAGGACAGCAATGGACTTGGAAATGTAGCTTAAAGCAGAATTTCAGTATCCAAACAGGTCTGGATAGAATGTTGGGTACAAAAGACCCCAGTAGCAATAAGTTTAGGGATGGGAAAACACCTTAGAAAGAGTCAGACAAGTTCTAAAGACCGGGAAGGCAGTTTCAGGAATTTTAAGAATGAGTAAAACAGCATTTGTGTGCAGGGAATACTAAGGATGCACTTTGATTACTGTGCAGAGCTAGGAAGCTGGAAGTGTTATTGGGTATCCCACAGTGATGACTACAAAAATGCTTGGGATTATTTTTTCAGCTAAATAGAGAGGCAATACCTGGAGGTTCAACTTACTTCTGTGAAAGTTAGAGGCAGGTAGGCCTCCTTGCAGGTTCTGAAAAAATAAGAACATGTTTGGTTTTTAAAATTAGATTTCGTTCCACAAAAAAGACACAGCAACAACACCCTGATATCACATTTATTTCCACCCCCTTACTAAGTTTTTTAAAAATGTGTTTAGTTTATTAATAGATTTCTCACATGCCTTGGGGCTCAGGACACACCACCCCAAAATGTGCTTGTAGGAGACCAGAATGTGCCACCCTAAAACATACTTCTTTGGCATATTTTGAGCTGGGTTATTCTGAGAAACTGCAGACACAGGAGTAGTTCTGAAAAGCTATGCTTTTGTTAAATAAATTTACATATATAAAGGAAACCTATTGTAGTAAAAGTATCTTTGTCAGGAAGATGACTGCTCCCAGACAACTTTTATTACCTGAGAGACTTTTTATCTGCATAATAAGACACCCTTTATTCACCATTTATATGGTTTGGATGTTCTGCCAAAATCAGATGTTGAATCATAATCCCAACTGTTGGGGGTAGGGCCTGGTGGGAGGTATTTAGATCATGGGGCTGGATCCCTTATAAATGGCTTGGACTATCCCCTGGGTGACAAGTTACTTCCTGCACTGAGTTTTTGTGAGATCTGGTTATTTAAAAGTGTGACACACCTCTCTCCCCTCCCTCCCTCTCTCTCTTTCCTACTTTGACCATCTGATGCACAAGCTTCCACTTTGCTTTCCACCCTGAGTAAAAGCTTCCTGAGGCCTCCCCAGAAGCTGGGAGATGCCGGCACCATGCTTGTACAGCCTGCAGAACTGTCAGCCAATCAAGCCTCTTTTCTTTATAAAGTATCCAGTCTCAGTTATTTCTTTATAGCACTGCAAGAGTGGCCTAATACAATAATATATTTCTTCTTCTCACTCTACCCTAACTTGTGTTGCCACCTCCCACTAGAAGCTTGAAGCCCCTATTTCTACCTGTAGCTCAGGATGTTATACAATCTTCAATCATCTGACCCTTCCTCTAGTCTCACACTTTGTGAGACTCTCATGTGTATGTATGTAATTAAATATGTTTTTTCCCCTTTTAGTGTCTATGTCAATTTGATTCCTAGCCCATCCAAAGCACCTAAAAGGGTGGAGGAAAGCCATTTTCCACTCCCCCACACCTTCACTTATCATTTGTGTTCCACTGATTTTGTGGGTTTTACTTTGTGTCTTTATAGTTGTCCTTCATTCATTCTCGTGTCCTTCCGATTCTCAGATGGTCTGAATATCACAATACTTTCTCTCAGGCATTTAGATATTTTAAGTCAAAATGCCTGAGAAACAACAACAGACAGAATACTTAGCTTAGGTATTATTAGTTCGTCTCCTCCAGGGAGTTGGCCCGGAGAGAGTTGCTCACAGGACTTTCCTCCCTCACATCCAGTTCTTCTGGCTGGGAAACAGATAACTCAGAGAGTGTAGAAACCTATGGAGCTTTTCAGGTTGGCCTGCTAAAGTAAGGAAGGCTTGGTGATCACTTAGATGATAAGACGTACGTGCACTAATTTTTTTTATTTATTTGTGGATTTATATAAATGAAAGTGTTTTGTTTATTGTGTTGCAAAGCATAAGTTTAATTATACTGTAATAATATCACATTACAGTGTAAAGGGAACATGAAAGATGTAACTGAACTCTTGTATTTGTTTATTATAAATTAATTTCTGCTTATGGCATAAAATTTTGCAAAACATAAAAAATTTAAAGAAAGATGAAATGCTTTATGTGTTTCCTTACAAAGACAATCATTTTATAAATTTTTAAAACCTTTTTCTCGTATACTTCTGTATTTTTGAATTATCCATATGTAACTTCAATGTCTGTGAGTTCTCTATATTTTTGGGATCACCTAAAACTTTAATGTTTTAATGAAAAACACTCACATTTCCCATCCTACTTTCAATCTGGTGCCCTTCTTAAGATATCTATAAATTTATATATGTGCTCTGCCCACTGTCCATCTGTGGTCCTCCTTCCACTGTGTTCTCATATACTTTCTTCTTTCCTGCAGTAGTTAGTTAATTTTTTTTTCTGTCCACGTTCTCCCATGTATGATCTCCAACCCTTTACCATTGCCCAATGCACTGCAGACAAAGCCCTATGGCACATGGCTATTTCAATGAAGGCTTGGAGAAAATGCAGGGAGAGTACAACACTGTCTGAGCAAGTTGAATTATAAAGATCTGTCTTCCTGGTCCTCTGTCCTCAGCACTCTAAAGAAAGAGCAGAATATTTGAAGTTAGTTTTTCTTTGACTTGTTTAATTTGAATTATTTGGTATGGCTCTTATCTGATTCAACCCTTCACTGCCACCTAACATTTTATTTCCAAATAGAGGAGGAAGAGTAAAGCTGAAGGAGTCCAGGAACTTTCAACCAATGTGACACTCTGCCACGCTGATTTTTTTTTTTTTTTTTTTGTGATGGAGTCTCGCTCTGTCGCCCAGGCTGGAGTACAGTGGCACGATCCTGGCTCACTGCAACCAACACCTCCTGGGTTCAAGCTATTCTGCTGTCTCAGCCTCCTGAGTAGCTGGGATTACAAGTGCCCACCACCACATGTGACTAACTTTTGTATTTTTCAGTTGGGATGGGATTTTGCCATGTTGGCCAGGCTGGTCTCGAACTCCTGACCTCAGGTGATCTGCCTGCGTCGGCCTTCCAAAGTGCTGGGATTATGGGCATCAGCCGCTGTGCCTGGACAATTATTTTAAATTAAAAACTCTTGAAAGTCAGCAGATGCTGGAAAAGGCTTTTCCTGTAACTTCATAAAGACTGGACCTTCCAAAGACAACACATGTGCCTTCCAATTCCTTCCTGAAGTCTTCTTACCTATTGACTGAGGAATGTAACATTTGGACAGATTTTGTCAGGAACCATTGTTCAATCTTGCAGACCCACTTGATTCCCAAAGAGTATCACTTATTAACCATTGTCTGAGCATTAAACTCACTCATTCTTTCTAAAATCATTTGCTTCCCACAAAGTTGTCACATTTCTTCCTATCTCCTCTTCCCTTATGCAAAAGAATCTGTAATAATCTGGACCTCACTGGGTTGTTGGTTAATCATTCCCATGCGATTCCCCGATGCTATGCATGTTAAGTAGATCTGTATGTCTTGTCTTAATGCCTATTGTGACGTTCATTTTCAAGAAACCTTAGAGGGTGAAGGAGAAGCTTTCCTTTGGCCCCTGCAAAGTATACACCCAGATACTAAGAATATGTATTTTGGAAAAGAACAAACTTGTGTCCCACTTACCTGTAATGGTAGAAAATTAATTAATATAAGCAAAAGTTAAGCTTAATTTTTCTTAAAATTTAGTATAAGCAGTCTAAATGATTAAAAAGCAAGATGCAGTAATCCTTCAAATAAAGTTTCTTTTATAATCCATTTCTTAAATGCCATTCCTCTAGGGGTAGAACAGAGAACATGTATTGCTGACAGGTGTGTAAATAGTGGTAAAACAAAACAACAACAACAAATATCTGTGGAACTTTTTGACAAGGCATACACTGATGTGGTTTCTTTCATTTTTAAAATGGCAACAGGCTTAGTATCCACTGGAGCTTACAAATGATAGAATAATTCCCAGCCACCTATAGTTTCATTCTCAGTAGAAACTACTCTACTTTGTTTAGAGCACAAAAATAATTCTGTTATTTCCTTTGCTTCCAAAGACTATTTTTTTATATATGCACCTGAAGAGGGTATAAGCTTGCCAAACTCCATCAAGCTTTCAAAGTTGTCAGAATAATGCCAGGTGGGCCTTTGAGGAGAATGTATACAGCAGACTTTGGAGACTTGTGTCAACGGGTGTTTATTTTTCCTCTCCTAAATTTTTTTAGGCAGGTTTTTCTGAATATAGAACTTTAAAATGACTCAGTAGATAATAGGCTCACCTGAACTCACCTTATTGTGACTTACATAAAATCCCCTATGCCAAAAGCACATTTTGGATGACCTCTCTGTAAGGAAAGCTCAGACTCTGGCCCCATGGCGCTATAAACTTCCCCTGGATGGAGTCCTTTTATATGCTACAAACTGTAGAGCTTCCACATCTTCCCACACCATAGACAGAGAAGATGTCTCTATGAATTACCAAATCCAAATGCTAAATCCTTATCATTATTTATTTTTTACACTTCTAAGTTTCCTCAAGGCTTATTTTTCATCAAATCTTATCTAAGAAGGGAAAGAGGATATGAATGGAAACTGAAGACGGGAAGATGGAACTGTCTTTCACCACTTCTGTTGTTTTGGCCTGTAGAGGAATCCTGTTCCTGCTGAAGGGTGGCTTGCCAGATTACAGAATGCGATATGTTATTTAGATTGGCTTAAAACATTTCCTGGATGAAAATGTTTGTGGACATCTTGGAATGTGATGTTCCTGTACAACTCTTTTTTTTTTTTTTTTCACTTGCCTACTACCCTTCCAGGCTGAACTTTACTTAGCTGGCATGATTTATGGGACATAAAATTCTCTCTCTCTCTTTTTTTTTTTTTTTAAGGCAGAGTTTCGCTCTGTCGCCCAGGCTGGAGTGCAGTGGTGCGATCTTGGCTCGTTGCAACCTCTGCTTCTCTAGTTCAAGCAATTCTCCTGCCTCAGCCTCCCGAGTAGCTGGGATTACAGGTGCCCACCATCATGCCTGGCTAATTTTTGTATTTTTGTAGAGATGGGGTTTCACCATATTGGCCAGGCTGGTCTTGAACTCCTGACCTCAGGTGATCCGCCTGCCTCGGCCTCCCAAAGTGCTGGGATTCCAGGCATTAGCCACCACGCCCGGCCAGAAATCTCTTAAGTACAGGCATGGATACATGTGTACTAGCTGAACCTAGTGGGGAACGTAAAAAACTGGAGAAGGATCTGTCGAAAAGGAAACATAAAATTATTCAAGGCTTGAGTTAGGATCCGAAGCTATTGAAGTGGCTGGGGTGAGGGAGGGGAGGTTGAGTAAAGAAATGTGTTAGGGCATCAGTATGGTTAGCATGGGCAAATAGAAAGTTCTCTGGACAATTAGAAGGCACAGGAGGTAACCCTTTTCCTCGATTGATCTTTTCTCTGAACCTTGAAACAAATTTCACTGCAGACTAGATCCTTGTAAAGAGGCGTGTGAAGCAAATGTCTCTGCTACGCCACATCTAGGGTCTTTGGTTTTGACCCTTGCCTAACCACAGCTGTTCCTTAAAGTAGACCATGCTGCATTCACGTCCATGTTTTGTACATCCTATTTCTGTTCCTGTGGTGACCTTTCTCTCCTCATCCGTTTGGTAAGGTTTTATGTAAAATCCTCAAAATGCAGCTTAAGCCCCTTCTACATTGTCAAGTATTAGTTTTCTGTGGACGTTGTGATAAATTATCACAAACTGGGTGACTTAATACAAAAGAAATTTAAGTAAACAGAGGGCTAGAATCAAAGTGTTTGCAGGGCTACCCTCCCTCCAGAGCCTCTAGCAGAGAATCCTCTCCTGATTCTCACAGTGTCTGGTGGCTTCCTGAGTTTCCTGGCTTGCAGCAGCATAGTTCCAATCTCAGCCACATCTTCACATGCTCTTTTCTCTGTATATCTGTGCCTCTGTGTCTCAACATTTATTCTAATAATGATACCAGTGATTGAATTTATGGCCTACTCTAATCCAGTATGACCTTATCATAATTTACATCTTCATTACACCTGCAGATAACCTATTTTCACATAAAGTCACGGTGCTTCTTCCTGTCAAAGTTTGCCTGCTCCCATGAAAAAATTACTTTCTCTGTCCTTTGTCTCCCAGCATGGCTTACTATATCCATCTTTTTGCAATAATTATACTGTATCATAGTTTTTGTTTTTTTTTTTCTTTTTTTAAACGGAGTTTCTCTCTTGTCGTCCAGGCTGTAGTGCAATGGCATAGTCTCAGCTCACTGCCACCTCCGCCTCCCAGGTTCAAGCGATTTTCCTGCTTCAGCCTCCCAAATAGCTGAAATTACAGGTGCCTGCCACCACTCCCAGCTATTTTTTTAAATGTCTTTCCCTTCTACCTGATTGATAGTTCCTTAAATACAAAATATATGTGTCATGTATTATTGTAACCCTAGTACTCCTCACGGAGTCTAGTTCACAGTTGGTGCCAAATAAGTACTTAATGGTTTGCAAGTAAGTTCTCAAAGACCTAAAAATTGAGACTTCACAATATACTCTCATCTCTATGGAGGATCATTATTCCGTGTAGCTATTGAAATATATTCTGTCAAAATATATGAGCATTTTCTCAGTGAATGTTCCTTTTGGCAGTTATGATATTTTCACCTCTCCCATTTATATCTTCATATGTAGCACTGCTTTTCTAGAAAAATCAGGAAGCAAGCTATTCTGTATGTTATTTTTTTTCCCAAAGGAATTCAATCTATCTTATGAGTGAACAAGGCATTCTTTGTTTATGCTTCTCTTTTGAAAAGCTACTTCTAAAGAAGTTTCTAAAATAATTAAATCTGTCTTACTATGATAAACAAAGTATTACTATGCCTCCTTCAGTACACTCTTGATACTCAAATCTTTATTATGAGCATAAGGTGTTTTACTGAGCTGAAATAAAATGACATGCTCAGAGCCTTGAATAAGTTTCATGTTTAACAGCCTCATATGGTAAAATAATAGCATTGATGCAGACCTAAGTTTGTGCCAAATTCTAAGCATGTTTTATGATTTAATCTTCATAAAAAGTGATAAAATTGACACTGTTAGTCCTATTTCACAGATTAGGAAACTGAGGTATATAGTTATTATGTGACTTGCCCAAAGTTATGCAGCTAGTAAACAGTAGAACAAGGATTCAACATAGTGTTATAGTGCAAGAATAAGCACTTTAAGAATGCAGCAATATTGCCTTCTTGGGCTTTCCTCAGCACACTGTGAACTTGCTGGTTCTTAGGTTGACTATCATCTTTCACATAAAAACTTTACCTTTCCTTTTTACTTTCCACTTCTGATTTTAAATGTGCTTGTGTGCCAGGAAAAAAATCAGAGTAGCAAGGCCTGGAACTCTGCCGCTGTGTACCTTTTGCTGGCTTTGATGCATATGGAACATGTAGCATGCTACCTTTCTCATGGCAGGGTCCTGTGATGGAAGTTGGGCCCTCTGTGTACCCGCACCTTTCTTTACTTTCATAGGCAGTTGGGCTGCCCTCAGTTTAGCATGTACCATATGGAGTTCCTAAGTGGGCTCCCTAGTCAAGGCATTATGAAGAGAATGAAAGAATATGTAGAGACAGCTGGTGAATATGAACTCTAGGGGCAATGGTGGAGCCTCGTCCTTAGACATGGGGAGTGAGTAGAGGGAAGGGTGGAGGTGGGTTGGATATGAAGGACATTAAGAAGATAACTCCACTGGTAATTGGTAAGGAAATAGAAAATTTAAAAGGTATTCTTTTTAGTATTTCTTTATAGGTTTCACTGTCTCACTTTTTCTCTTAATCTCTAATTGTCAGCCCTTCTTCCATTGCTCAGTCAAAAAATTAATTAAAAGTAGTATTCAAATACAATTTTGAAAGGGCAGGAAGAGAGAAATGGGAGAGAGACAGAGAAAGAGGGAGAGAGAAAAGCAAAAGTTAGAATCTATAAGGAACCAAAAGGTTAAGACAGCCAAGTAGGATTTTCACAAGTTCTGGAATGTCTCTGGCTGACTTTATAGGCTGTTGACTGTATGGTGAAGGAAGGATGGATCAGTCTAATTGAAAAATACAAACTGTTATAGAACCTCGATCTGGGGTATATTCCAGTGAATTGAGGCTTCCTGGTGGATTGTTTCCAGACATGCCTCGAGGAAAATAAATATGTCACCATATGAACACTTTTCCCTTAAATAGCCTAATTAATTCTTTTATCTTTTATGGTAGAAATGTTGTTTTATATCATTTCTAGTCTTATTTTCTTAATTACAATTACAAGGGTATGTAGACTATAACAATTCATAGAATATTATATTTGTAGAATATAAAAATATTTATTGATTTGGCATGTCACATTGATGTTAACACTGGCTTTAATTTTCTAAAAGGGACACTTCATGTAAAGCTAATGTTTACCCAAGGGAGTAAAGATCTGCCATACAATTTTCCCCAAGCCTCAGGCACATCAACTATGGGTTCTCAAGAAATACTTGTTGGTAGGTTGACTAGTTGGGGAAGATGTCTGAAGCTTGAGGCCCTCTTTACAACTCTGCCCTTTAAATTCTTTATCATATGCCTTCTCTCTGGCAGGCTGCACTTAACCTTCCTCATTTTCAGAGGCTATATAGCCCATCCTATTAGGGAGCAGCTCCTTTTTCTCCCTGCTTCTAATCTCAATCTTCATGACGGCAATGATCTGCACATTTGGACATTTTTAACTAAAAATAACTGCCCTAAAGAAAACTGAACTAAGAAACCAGGACATAGAGAAAATTAGGTAGTTATGTCTATAAATGTCCAGGCTTTCAAAGTCACCTATGACACTCATCAGGTGGAGGGACATGAAATAACACAGACGTGAAGGGCATATAGGTGACAGTTATTAATATCAGGGAGATTGATTTCATATCCTTGAAATGTACCAACCTTTAACTCCAGGTTCAGCAACTTCATAATTTACATAAGTACAGTCTGTGTCAGTTCATTAGCAGGTCATTAGTACGTCTGGAGAATATGTTCTAAAATGTCCTCAGGAAAATCTCGGGGGAATGCACCAGAAAATAAAATTTTGCTGAATGCCTGTTTTAGAGAAAGTTAGGATTGTGTGTGTATGTGTGTGTGTCTCTCTGTGTGTGTGCTTTCTTTTGCATTTAATCCACCTTCATTTTAGGTAGTGGTTTTGGTGAGGACTGTGTGGGTCAACACCCTGGGGCAACATGAAGATTAACTTCTGAGAAATAAGTAGGGATTCAAAACAGGTTTTTACCATATTGTGTTTGACCTACATGTTCTTAAGTGCCTGTTTTATGCATATATCCAGTTGTGTATTTTTTATAGGATATGATGTTTCCATGAATACATCTTATAAATGTGATGTTCAAGTTTGGTGTTCTTCATTTTGGGCAAAAGTGGAAGATAGATAATCATGCCTAAATGATTGTGTGCTCCATTGAAATGCTTCCCTTCAAGTACAAATTGCTAGATATGGAGAGGGCATCTGTCCAGCTAGTCCAGGTATTTGCATTTAAAGCCACCATGAATACAGGCGATAGACTTGTAGAGGAAAAAATAAAATAAAAATGAAATATGTACTTTATTACTATTCAATTTAACTTAAGTTTAGGTGGAGAAGACCCAGAACAAATTGGGGGACTGAGACAATAAAGGAGAATATGGAGAAAAAAAAGGCAGAATGTTTAACATCTTATAGCAAAATGCCATAAATAAGTAGTGGTACTTTTTTTTACCTGCCCCCTCAAAATGTATAAGAGCTTGGAAGTCACTGTGAAGAGGAAATCGGTACAGGCACATGCCATTTTATTGTGTTTTGCTTTATTGCTCTTTGGAGATCCTGCAATTTTTACAAATTGAAGATTTGTGTCAACCCTGCATCAAGCAAGTCTGTTGGCACCATTTTTCCAATAGCATATGTTCAGCTCCCGTCTCTGAGTCATATTTTGGTAATTTTTGCAATATCTCAAACTTTTTAATTATTATTATGTCTGTCATGGTGATCAGTAATCATTGATCTTTGAAGTTACTGTTGTAATTGTTTGAAGAACTACAGACTTGTTGAAGGCTCAGGATTTTTTTCTTTTAGATTTAATGCTATTGCACACTTAATAAACTACTGTATAGTGTAAACTTAACATTTATATTCACAGGGAAAGCAAACAATTTGTATGACTGGCTTTGTTACCATATTCACTTGGTCCTGGTGGTCTGGAACCAAATCTACAATAATGCAGAGGAGTGTGTCTGTATCATTCTTCCTACAGTTTGGGAATGGTCATGTGGACTTTCACTGTAATATTTACTTTGGTTAAAACAGAGAGAGAAAGAAAGTTTCAAGGTATAAGTTATGACAGAAGGAGGTATACCTTTGAGGTCATTTTTAAATAAGAAACTTCCAGAAGTCACCATCAACCCAGGCAGGGATACACATCTACCTACCTGTAACAAAGTCATTGACCTCCCAATAGCATATGAGGATTATAAACCACCTATAAAGTGTCACAGGTCACAACTTTGTCATGCATTCATTCTAGTTGCAGACTTCTGTTGACTTTATGGGCACCGGACATTTCCACCATGCCTGGATTCATAGTTGCTTTAAACTACTTCCAAAACATTGAACCCAGCTTACTGAATCCATACTGACTGCTGCCTTTACCATATTTTCAAAGATTTCTAGGGCTTCGTGTTTTTGGGACCTCATTCCTTCATGCTCATTTATTTCTTCCTACTCTAATTAAGTTACTGGTTTTTTCTTCATTATCACTGACATGTTGGGGTATCAACCTTCATTCTTCTCATTAAATTTGCATCTCAGGTCAAGGTGTCTTATTCTGTGGGTCACCAGCATGCACAGCCATCTCACTCATGCTTGGCTGACTATTACATTCATGTCCTCCATGAATATTTGTTGCATGAATGCATACATTATGATGGCCTGATTACTAAACAGAAATTGAGTTTTAATAAGCTATAATAAAACATTTCTTTAAGCATTCTTAAGCACTTATTTTGTTTTGTAATTTTTCAAAAAGTGAATATACCTTCCTCATTAAGTATATTTAATTGTAACTGTTTTAATAAAAATAGATGATATAAAACATAAGGGTCATCCAGACTGACTTGTTTCCTGAAGCAGATATCCTTTTGCAAGATCCTCCTCAGCTTGACTGTATTGTAAGTGGAAGAGTCATTTGATACACCTAACCTTCCAAACACTGTAGTTTAGCTTAGCTAAGCCTACCTTAAACATGCTCAGAACACTTACATTAGCCTATAGCTGGGCAAAATCACCTGACAACACAGTCCACTATAGGGAATCAGGGGGTTTACCTTCATGGTGGCATGACTGACTGGGAGCTGCAACTCCCTGCCCCGGCCCAGCACCTCGTGAGAGTATTGTAGCACATACAGTAGCCAAGGAAAAGATCAGAATTCAAAATTTGATGTGCAGTTTCTACTGTATGTGTATAAATTTCACACAATTGTAAAGTCAAAACAATTTTAAGTCAAACCTCAAGTCAGGGACTATATTCTTTCTTCATGTGGGAGTAGCTGGTGGTGGTTTTCACATAACTTAGAGATTAAATTCTTAAACCGTTGATTTGAAAACTGCTATTAAATCTGATGAGCTTGAGAACAGAGTTATTCTTGGGCTTCTTATATACAACTCTGACATTTAATGGTTTATATCAAATGTGCCCTGTCCTAAAGTTTGACTCAGGATTTGGTGTGATATCCCTACTCCCACCTCCATCGTAAGTGAGCATCTATTGAAAACTAAACAATATGATATTAAGGTCAGGGAATTAAAAAGAATAAAAAACTCACAAAGAGACGCTTTCAAGGTAGGTAGGAGGAGGAGAATTGGCTGGAAAATTGTTGCTTACTCGGCAACATGAAGGTCCCTGGTGAGACACATTGATTACAGAGTAGGGGAGATAAGAAAGAAAGAACAGAAAATATGCTTCTCTGCCTCCTGGCTTCCAGGTGGACTAGTCCCACTGGAATCTTCTTTGAGAAAAGAAAAAAAGGTTCTGTCATATCTGTATTGGTGATGAAACCACAGGATTTTACGTGGTGAGCCTTGTCTTTCTTCTATAAAAATTCATAAAAGCAACCCTGTGCCTTCTACTTAGGGATTAGTAAATTGCCTTACTCCTGGGCTCTTGCTTTTCTAGGAGCTCTCCCGCGGAGTTGATCTGAGCACTGTCTACTTGTGAAGCTGACATATGCCCCTGCCTTAAGATCGGCATCCCAGGGGGGCAATCCAATAAAAGTTTACACCTTTCTATTGTGATTATTTTTCTCTTTCTTTTTTTTTTTTGTTCTGGTGAAGAATTGCATGCGTATAAAAGTAGGCTGCAATTACCTGTGAAAGATTCTAAACAAGCTGTGTCCATGAGACTTTTTTGGTTTGCTCATTAGGCTATATTTCTAATTTTTATTTATGAATCAGTTAGAAAGGCATTCATTGAATAAATGTCACTTTTAAATACATAAGAATATCTGGTGGGAATTCCAGGTTTATTCTACCTTGATGCATAACGCAATTTGCGGAGGCACCATTCATATTTTGTGCTATGTGAAGGCCACTCTTGGGCACAATGTGAGTAGATGACATTGACATAGAACCTCATACAAATGTTGTTTCCCTATGGTGTTCTAAATTGTGGGAATTTATTTTATGAGCAGAGATAGTAAAGCATTAGTTAAGGGAATAGAAAGATAGCTTTGGTTAGAATACTAACTGCCTTACACTTTTTTATCTTGGATAAGTTTCCTAACTTCTCTAAGTTTCTCTCCCCTAATGATAATACAGATTAATACTATTGTTTTTCTCATAAGATTTTCACAAAGGTAAAACATAATTTACAACATAATGCATCTTAAACACTTAACTGTATTGATTACATTAAAAACAGGATCATTATCATTAAGATGTATTTATCTTATTAAAAATGATTCATAGTGACAGTGCATGGTTAGCTCATGAAAATTAATATCATAGGCATAGCATTATTAAACTCAATATATTTCATAGACACAAATTAACTCATGTATCAGCCAGAAAAAATACATCTTGAAAATGGATACATTTTTTAATTGTTTGTAATACGTCTTGAAAATGAATACATTTTTGTTTGTAATTACTGAAAATATTTTGACATTATCACTTATTTCAAGGCCTTAGAAAAATAATTTATTATTTATCATTTTGAAAATATAAGTAATGGGTACAACAGCACATTCATCTTATGCTTAAGTGGTACCTCCCTGAGCTTTGCTCCAATACTGACAATCCCATCCTTTAAAGCTAGTTTTGAATTTCAGTTTAAGTCTAGTTAGCTGGCAAGGCAGATGTCTTCAGATTGTTATAAAATAAGAGCATTTGGTCTCATATCTCATATTATGAAAGCAGTAGAGTTTTTTGGTTAAGAGCAAGGTTCTGGTGTCAGCCTGGAAGGATTTGAATTTTGGTTCTTTTATTACCAGTTATGTGAATTTATGCAAATCATTTAACCCCAAGTGGTTCAGCTTCTTCATCTCTAAAGTGTTGAAAATAGTATCTATTATATTGTTGTGAACCTTAAATGCATGTAAGCCATTTATAATTGCTTATGTGATACAATGCATTTCTGTATAGCAGAGTAGAACTTCTGCTAGTGGAGTACAGTGATTTCCTCATCTGCAACACTAAACTCTGTATTACTAATTATTATTTTTATTTTTATTTTTTGTAGAGACAGGGTCTCACTGCGTAACCCAGGCTGGTCTCAAACTCCTGGGCTCAAACGCGTCTCCCTCAATGGCCTCCCAAAGTGCTCTGATTATGGGCACGAGCCACTGTGGCCAGCCCTAAAATTTAGAACAGGATGATAGCAATTAGGCAAGGTGCTGTCTATCAATATGAATAATAATAAAAATAAATAAGTAATGTCTGGAATCTAATCATCTACATCAATCTAAGCTGAAATTTAAATTCATATTAGTCTATAGTAATTTTTGATGCTAGCCAATTGACAATAATATAATTGGCACTGGAAACACAGTATAAGGGTCAATAATTTAGTTGGGAAAACAAATCAAAGATACAGTGAGGGTCAAGAAAGAGGTTTGAATATGTCTTGTCAAATGCCTTGTTATAAGCATGCTGACAGTGCATTTTTATTAAATCAATTGCCCTTTGTTTAAAATGGCACTACACAAATAACCTATTATACTAGCTAGTATGTGTAAAAGGACTATATTGACCAGGTGAAAGTGTGTATTTGGAGTTGACCAAAAAAGCACCACTGAAGACAAAAAGGGATCTTAGAGCTTTTAGTGTCAATGAACATGGAGACTAGCCTGAGTTATTCGATTTTGTTCCAAGTTCTAGGTTTGGTTTGGGATAGCCCAGGCTATCTTCTCCTTCCATCAGTGGCAACTTCACGTACCAATGGTAGAAGAATAAGAGGAGCAAACAGAAACACACCACTTCAGGCCTAAGTGCTAAACTAGCTGATTGTCATGTCCACCCAAATTTCATTGGCCAAACAAGCTCAAAATCAATGAGGCAAGGAAATATACACTGCCTCTAGTGACAGGAGCTGCCAGATCTCACCCGGTGTGTGGACACATTGAGCAATGAAGAGTTGGAACAAAAATTCAACCCGCCACGCATACTCTGAGTTGAAAGCTATTACTTCCACCAACTTATGATGTTCTTATTTGTGAAGCAGAACTGAACAAACACACTGGCAGCCATTCAAATACCAGAGGATAATTGTTATAATTATCTTAGGTTTTTTTAAGCTGGATATCATGAGCTCTTACCTAAGTTAGCTGTTCACAGTATAATGATTAGATCCTCTCATCATGAGCACCCTCTTCTGGACTTGCAAATCATTCCAGTGTGCCAGGTTTTTCTTAATACGTTTCAACAGGTACTGAACAGAAAATTTCAGTTAACATGGATGCTCTGGAGCTCGAATTCCCTTATTGCAGCTGAGGATTACCCTAGCCTCTTAAAAGCCATATTTGTTCAGACTTATCTTGTTAATTAAAAATTCCAAAACCTTTTTTTATAAGATCTGTTGCCAAAGCAAGTTTCTTTCAAGCATTATTTGACAAGCTAACCTTGTTTTTATATCTGTTGAAGTTCATACTGTGATTCTTGTGATCATACCTAGAAAACAAGGGAAAGGAAAATAGAATGGTGTGGATAACAAGAAAAGCCTTTCTTTGTATTTCATTCCAAAGGTATTTGTTTTTTATCAATGCAACATAATGAAATATCTTAACTTACTCTTGCTCCAGTTCCTGCTGTCCATGACTTAAAGTTTGTATCATTTCTCTCTTATAAAATCTGCAGAACTTTCTCCTTCTGATACGTTAAGACAGTTACATTTATTTTTTAAACTTCGGTTCTCTTTCATCCTAACACAAATTACATTTTAAAGAATGTTATATAATTTATATTGCATTAGATGTTATTTGATTAGAGTATGAAAGCACAAATTCATAATCAATTCATGGTTATGTTTTAAAAATTATCTGTGCAGAATCATGCTACATGTTCTACTTATACTTTGAGACTACATGGGTACATTGATAAGGATATAGAAATCTTTTGGTTAAAAATAATAATATATTAAATCCAGTGCTCAGAGCTAGGTAATCCCAAAGCTTAATTACAAAGATAAAACTCAGGATATAATAATTTATTTCATTTTGGATGAATTCAACACCTTGAATATAAAGAAGTAATATTTTCTATGAAATTGGTGATGTGAAAAAAATTGAGAGAAATCAAGATTGGTAATATGTATTAACACTAGTAATGTTGAATACTTATAAATTCTTTACAAAAGATATTTAGAAACTAGTTGAATGGTTGTGACAAAAATGCTGACAGTGATATGGACAGTGAAGCCCAGGCTGAAGAGGTATCAGATGGAGATGAGAAACTTACTGGGAACTGGAACAAAGCTTACTCTTGCTATGCTTTAGCAAAGACACTGGTGGAATTTTGCTCCTGCTCTAGAGATCTGTGGAACTTTACTCTTGAGATTTTGGATATCTGGTGGAAGAAATTTCTAAGCAGCAAAACATTGTGTGTGTGTGTGTGTGTGTGTGTGTGTGTTTGTGTGTGTGTGTGTGTATAATTTTATTTTATTTTATTTTTTTTGAGCCAGAGTCTCACTCTGTTGCCAAGGCTGGAGTGTAGTGACATGATCTCGGCTCACTGCAACCCACCCCCAACTTGCAGGCTCAAGCCTTCCTACCAACTCAGCCTCCCGAGTAGCTGGGACCACAGATGTGTACCACCATGCCTGGTTAATTTTTTGTAGAGATGGGGACCTCACTGTGTTGCCCAGGCTAGTCTCAAACTCCTAAGCTAAAGCGATCCACCTGTCTCAGCCTACCAAAGTGCTGGGATTACAGGCGTGAGCCACTGTGCCAGGCCGAAAAAGTAGCATATATTTTTATTATTATAAAAATAGGAAAAATATCTTATAGGAAATATAAAATATTGTCTCATAGAAAAAATATCGGTCAACATACCTTGAGGAGTATCAGCTTGTATATTTGCCTGTTAGTCTTAAAATGAGAGTCTAACTAGAAAAAAGTTATCTATGATATTCTGTATTCATTTGTAAACATTTATTTCACCCACCATATACTCAGTATTACACAAAACGCAGGTGAGAGAGCTGGTCATGCCTTCATAGATGGCAATCTTTTCATCAAACTGCATATGAACTAGGACCACCACCCCACCTTGACTTCTCTAGGGGAAGTGCTTAAAATATAAGTATTTTGCACGATCCTGAAAATTTATAAATATTAAGGACATTTCAGGCATATTAAGAGATATAAAATATAGTAAACCACAATATTTCATTAAAAAAATTTGAAGATGTCTATGTAGCAAAACTGTGTTGATTCCTCATCCCTTCCCCTTTCATAGATAAGACTTTAACTAAAACATTTTGTTATAGTTTGACATTTTTCTTTCTATCATCTATCTATCTATCTATTTATCTGTCATCTACTTATCTATAGCTATGTCTATCTATAGATTGTTAGGATGGAATAATCTTAGTCTATCTCTTAACATTCTATAACCCCAATTCATACTGAAATTATATAATTTTAAGATGTAGACATAAATATGTGTATAGATACTTGGATATCTCTTGTTCTGTATACACATACACAGTATAATTTTGCATGTGTTTAAAATTTATTTATTTATTTTTATTTTTTATTTTTTTTGAGACAGAGTCTTGCTCTGTTGCCCAGGCTGGAGTGCTGTGGCAGGGTCTCGACTCACTGAAACCTCTGCCTCCCAGGTTCAAGTGATTCTCCTGCCTCAGCCTCCCAAGTAGCTGGGATTAAGGGCACCTGCCACCACTCCCAGCTAATTTTTTGTATTTTTAGTAGAGAGGAGGTTTCACCATGTTGGCCAGTCTGGTCTCGAACTCCTGACCTCATGATCTGCCTGCCTCGGCCTCCCAAAGTGCTGGGATTACAGGCGTGAGCCACCGCGCCAGGCTGTGTTTAATATTTATATAGATATTTGCCATATGCATTTTATGGATTAAAGTGCATTTATGTATACAATAAAAAGTGTAGTTTCTATCATATTACATTACTGTACATGTTTTTAAACCTTAATAGTATATTGTTCTATAAAACTATTTTAACTTGCTCTTTTATTTTATTCAGTATTATATTTGGGAGTCATCTATATTGATACATGTGCTTTTTCTCATTTATTTCACCTCTGCTTGGTGTTCCATTGTACGACTATGTTGCAATTTAGCCTTTCTATTGTTTATTGACAAACAGATTGCTTACAATTGTTGACTGTTACAATGGCTCCTTGAACATTTTAATATATGATGTCTATACATATGTTTAATAATTTTTTCAGGTTATGTCACTAAGAGTAGAATTCCTCTATATATTTGACAACTTTAAAATTCAGAAAGCTCTTAAAGCAGAAGTACATTAAGATAGCATCTAATGTTTAAGTAATAGTGTAACTGATTTCATCATGTCTTTTCTGAGTCAGGGTTTAATTGTGTAAACATTATTAAATGTATCAGAGACCTGGTTGCCTCAGGGACGTGGAAGGAAGAGCTACAGAATGAAGAAAAAAAAAAAAAGAGTGGACTAGGGTCTCTAAAGTTAACGTTACAGTCTTTATGATTCATTATGCTCTAGATTCATTTTTTCCTGAGCTTATGGCTACAGTTACTTTTTGGTCTTAGTATGTAAATACATTAATATATCAATAAATTTACCAAGGAATGTTTATTGCTTGGTGCCTACATTTGTTCTTCTGCATTTTTAGAAACCAATCTCATTTACCTAACATTAGCTAACAGTGAATGCTTCTTACTGTATTAGAAACTAGTGCAATTAGATTACCATTATCATAAGGGTCACATTAATACATACTTATGACTATAAGACGATGTACTTTGGAATTGTAGAATGTTAAAACTAGAAAAAAACCTTACAAATAATTTACTTCAATTTCTCATATGACAATGGGGAAAAATTAAAGCCTGGTGATGCTGAAATAATTAGCTCAATGTTCCACACTATTTAGCAGTAGAGGAAAGACTAGAATTGGATTACAGAGGACTGAAAGTCAAGTGTTCTAGTCCTCGTTCTACTCTAGTGTGTGAAAACGTTCACTATCTACAGGATGGTGTTCATTTCACTGCATGCCATTTTTCTTGTTCATATTTTTATTTATTCTCAAATCATTGTGAAGAACTTGATTCATTTTAGTATTCTTTTAGGGATATTTTTAATCTTAAAAGTTAAATTGTTTAAATCTATAAAAGATGCTATTAAGAATACAGTCACATTTTCCAAATGAGCTATCATAATTGGGATGCACAGAGTTATATATACAACAGAAAAACAATTCAATTTTATGATGGGAAAAATAACATGATAAAGAATACTCAAGTGACAAGAAAATAAAAAGTTCATTAGAACACCCACTGAGGTCTGGCCCCTACTTCCTCATCCCCCATGAAGGGGCTAATTGCAGGCTACAATTGCCAAAGCAGGGGTGGGATCTCTGCAGCTGATGCTGATGTTTCTGCAGACAGAAACGCTGGGAAAGTGCAGATTATGTCCCTGGGGACACTAGAGAGACAACCAGAGTAATTGAGCTCTGTCATCACGTCCAAGGGTTAAATACAGAGACAAAGGAGAAGACAAACCCAAGAGATTCTGAAGCTTAAAAGTAGATGGAGTGAAAATCCGAGGCAGTAGTTTTGCTTTTGAAATATTATATTCATCACTGGGAGACACTTTTGGCACTCTCACAATTATCACTGATGGTAATAGCAAAGACAAAACAAAATTAACAAAACCACAATAACAATGACAACTGCAACAATAAACCCAACAGCTAGTAGCCTAGAGATCATTCTGAGTTCCTCCTAGTATTTTATAACTTTGTATGTAGATTGTAAGCATCAGTACAGGGTCTAGGTTCTGTAGATTTAATTGGGAAAGACTGAACAATTGAAATTTTTTTTGCAGTTATCTAATATAAATCTTGGAAAAATATAATCAACAAATTGCATGTGCCAAAACAGCAGGAGGAGGAAATGGATCATTGTCTTGTGGGAATATAATTATTATTTTAAAAGGACTAGACTCTGCAGTGCTGAAATGCACTTGAAAAAAATAGGTCAATAAAAACAATATTTGGGGCAATAGAAATCATTGTTCTTAAACAATTAAACACATGCCAGATAATATTAAGATTATGCCCTGTAAGTTAATAATAATATGAAACTCTCTCTGAAACTTAATACAACTTACCTTCAGAAATTGAGTTTCTCATAAGATATTGGTTGTGTTCTATGGCTGTTTTTCTCTAGTAGAGAACATCTGTGATGATTTTAAGAGAGGAAGCTTATCCAAGACACCACCTCTCAAGGTAGCAGCACGTTTCATGCCTGAAATCTGGAGCCATCTGGATTTCTTAATTAAAGTAGTGACTCTAGCAACTTTTTCTAAATTAAACTGAAAGCTATGAGTTTCCTACTTGCTATGCCCTTTATTGTTATTAGATATTAAATATTAAACAACATATTCAATTTGTACCAAGACCGAGACTTCCATGCTAAAAGGGGAGGTTTGGGCTTTACTCACTGTTATATTAGTAACTAAGTTGATCTTAACATCATATTTAATTTTATTTTTCTATAAATGAATTTTAGTTGATAATTATATGACAAACTGAGTACATGGCTATAAATTTCCTTAACAAGTTATTGACATATTCATGTTTATAATATTTATAATTTATTTCAGATACTAGATGATTAAAGTGATTTTAAAATGGTTTAAAGAATGGGCAGATTTAGAAGTGTTTAGATCAGTGATCCTATCATTTTCACTCTGGATAATCTGAAAATCTGGTGCAAGGCTGAAATGAAACTGTTTTAATTGCAGTCATGCACCACATAACAATGTTTTAGTGAATGACACGCTGCATATTCAACAGTGGTCCCATCTATTATAATGAAGCTAAAAATTTCCTATTGCCTAGTGACATCCCAGCCATCCTAATGTCATAGCAAAATGCATTTCTCTTCTGTTTGTGGTGATGCTGGTGTAAACAAACTTACTGTACTGCCAATCATATAAAAGTATTGTACATACAATAACGTACAGTACCTAATACATGATAATGGTAGTAAATGACTATGTTAATGTGTTATCTATTTACTATACTATATCTTTTATCATTAGAGTGATTTTGTTGGGTTATGTAATATAAACCCTGGAGAAATATGATCAACAAATTACATATGCCAAAACACTGGGAGAAGGAAATGGATCATTGTCTTGTGTGGGTATGATTACTATTTCAAAACAGTAGAGTGTACTCCTTCTACTTAAAAGAAAATTAACTGTAAAATAGCCTCAGGCAGGTCCTTCAGGAGATATTTCAGAAGGTATTATTATCGTAGGAGATGACAGCTCCATAAGTGTTATTGTCCCTGATGTCTCTACAGTGGGACAAGGTGTGGAGGTGGAAGATAGTGTTACTGAAAATCCTGACCCTGTGTTAGCCTAGGCTAATGTGTGTGTTTTTGTCTTAGTATTTTTTAAAAGTTTAAAAAGTTAAAATAAATAAAATTTATAGAATAATTATGCAAAGAAACAAAATATTTTTACAGCTGTACAATGTTTTTGTGATTTAAATGAAATATTATTGCAAAAGAGCCAAAAAGTTGTTTAAAAATTGGAAGTTTGTAAAGAGTTACAGTGAGCAAATGTAATTTATTATTGAAGAAAAAAAATATTTAAGATGAATTTAGTGTAGGCTAAGTGTACAGTGTTTATAAAGTCTACAGTAGTGTACAGTGATGTCCTAGGCCTTCACATTCACTCACTACCACTCACTCACTCACTCACTCACCCAGAGCAACATTTAATCCTGCAAGCTCCATTAGTGGTAAGTGCCCTATATAGGTATACCATTTGTTATACTTTCTATCATATTTTCACTGTATCTTTCCTATGTTTAAATATGCAAACAGAATTGACTTACAATTGTCTACAGTATTCAGTATAATATGATGTACAGGTTTGTAGCTCAGGAGCAACAGGCTATACTATGTGGTCTAGGTGTGTAGTAGGCTCTACCATCTAGGTTTGTGTAAGTACAATTTTATTTTCACACAACGATAAAATATCCTAAGGATACATTTCTTAGAACATACCCCTGTCATTAGGCAACACATGACTTTTATTATCTAATATAACTCTAAGGGGGAGAAACTGCATATTGAGAGGAGTTAGCCAGCTTGCTTTAGGCAGACAGTAAGGGAAGTGTCCCCGGAGAACCTCCGACCTACCCCACGGGTGTTTTTGTAGATAAAGGAACTTACACGAGGGGCTTGCCTAAATATGCCCACAGTGAAAAATACCATTCCTTAACACATGTGCAATAAAGGAAATAAATCAATGTGGAGCAGCTTAGACTAAGGGCCTGCATTTGCACTGGAAGAACGGGGTGGAGCTGCCAGGAATTTGCACCTTAAGCCCTGGTATTCAGCTGTGAAGGGGGTAACCGGCAACCTGCTTTCAGGACCCTTCTCTTTGCTGAGGGCTTTCCTTTCACTTAATAAATTCTACTTCACTGACTCTCTGGTGTCCCCCCGCTCCACCTAATTCTTCCTGGTCGTGAGACAAGAATTCAATGGAGCAGAAAGACTGAAATAATATTGGACTAGAATTAATGAACTCTTTTAACATTTAGGGTAGTTTTAGTTACTTATTGACTACTAAATTACCAACTTGGATAATTGTTCAGTTTTAGAAAATTTGAAGGAATGCTTTGTATTGTATTGTAATAATGAGAGCTGTAAGCTAGAGAGCATCATCAAAGTTGTTTTCATCATTGTGGAAATTAGAGTTTGTTATAAAAATAACCAAGTTACAGATTTAAAAACAAAATGAATCCATTGATTAGGAACCACAAAAAATGCAGAACTATATGGAATTCCAGGATCAGCCCCTTCATTTCTTTTGATTATAATATAACACTTTTCTCTCACATTGGAAAGACTTTACAGTTCCAACACTGTAGACCTTGAAAATATATTTGATTACTGCATAAACAGACCAGATTAGAAGCCATACCCCTTTCTACAACCCACTAAAAGTTATATGTTTAATCTTTTTCCTTTGATTTAAATATAGTCTTTTAACAACGTGCAAGTTTATCATATAGTGTTTCACAGATTATTTTCTTCTTGGAATTTCTTGGGAATTTGTAACAATTCTGGCTTATCTCTTGTGCCAATGAGTTCTTGGTCTAAAACAGAAGGCATCAAACAATCAAAATTCTTGCCAGGATAAATATTTTCACATATAAGAGCTTAGTTCATAGGCCTTTTAGAAACATGGCATAATGACAAGACTTGTATATGTTTTAAATTCATAGAATGTATATTTTGATTTCTAGCCATCTGATAATTCATCCAACTATATTGAGTTTTCTCATCTCTTTTGACCATTGATTTTGTGCAGGCACAATGCTGAAGATGCAGAATGTAGGTAAGAAAGATCTCTAGCCCAGAGAATCTCCTGGTTTATTGGGGTTTATAGAGAGATGTTGATGTCTATTTGTGGTATCTGTTAACAGATAGTTACAGATAAATAACAAAATTGCGTGACGAGAACTATGACAGAAGTGTGCATAGCATTTAGGGAGTTTAAATTTGGGTAATCAAGGGAAAGCATATCATAGGAGGTAATATGCAAGTTGCAACCCAGCATGACAATATGGCAAGGTCACATTTCAGGTTCAAATTGCTCTGAAATCAGATTTTAACTCTCTCAACTGTGTCAACACAATTTGTTATGTGAACTCATTATCTTTATTTAGTCTTTCTTAGCCTAACTTTCTTCTTTTGTCCTTACCCTAAAGTTTTTCCTTTGTCTTAGCCTAAATGTTGTTATTTCTTCATGTTAAATAGAATTGTATGTTTCATTGTTTTGGTAGTAGGATTTTTTAATATTAAGAAGCAATCAAATATTAAATAGTTTGCCTAAATTTACCCAGCTATTGAACAGTGGAAGAGGAAGCTGAATCCAAACAAAGGTGACTCTAGACTCTGCTCTTAACAACAGCCCTATTACCAATCTCCTCAACATGCTCAGAACTTCCTTACAGTCTTTAGAGGACCTTCTAATTCTTTCAGCACTGTTTAAGTTGTAGCTATTAATAATTTTTATTTAGAGACATTTTTCCCCAAACTTGTAAATGATTTCAATAGTTTAAACTGAGGGCCATTTTTAAAAAGCTGGGGATTGCAGGCATCAGTGGCCATGGCAGATAAAGCAACTACAACATCAGTAACTGTGGCTAGTGCCATAAAACCTTGACCAATGCACCTCCTTTCCAACTGGGCAAACCCTGCTTCCAGAAGATGTCCTTCTATGGCCACTTCTGGCACTTCTTGGGTATCATCAACCCTCTCACACTCTTTTTCACTGAGGTATACAGTTCTATGAGTTTTGACAAACATATTCAGTCATATATCCACCACCACAATTGAGATAAGAAGCAGTTTCATCACCCTAACACGTTCCCTCAAACATTATATTCAATTCCTCCCTGTCTGCAGGCCCTGGCAAGCAATCAACTATTTTGTTTCTGTTGTTTTACTGTTTCCAGAATGTCATATAAAGGAAATCCTGCAACACGTAAATAATAATAAACTCTAGTAGCCTCTGCTTTTCTTTGGAGGGTCACAGTCTGGCACGTAGGCTCAGGTAGGTAAGCCACACTTCAAAATAATCCTAACTTTGTGTGGAAGACTGAGGACTTTATTTAGGCTGAGAAGAATTGTGGGTAGTATGTTCTGAAGATGGACTAACCCATAGAGTCAATGCTTCACTTCTACCCCAAAACTTACTATCCTCTATTACTTCAGTAGTATGACTGTAAAATGTCAGTAGCAGCATCACAAGACGAAGACTCTCAGGAAAGACATAATTAAGTACACTTGTCTTACTTTGTGTCAAATTTTTTAAAAAAATTTCTATACTTTAAAGAACTAAATTTCAAATATGCCATTGAGAGTGTTTACTAACTTATTGCAGAATTATAATATAAATATTCAAAAGTGTAAAAAAGTATACAATGAATTACCACAAAGTGAACACATTTATATAATCCTCATCCATGTTAATAAATGGAACACCAGAAGTCACCCTCGTGCCCTGTGCTCATCATTATATATTCTTCCATCTTTTAATGTAATCAAGTGAAATTTATGGTTGTGCATGTAGCAGAATTTCATTTGTTTTTATTGTTGCATAGTGTTCTATTTTGCTAATATGGCATAATATATCTATTTTACTCTTGATAGATATTTGGGTTGTTTTCATTTGGGGGCTTAAATTAGTCTCCCAGGACTCCTTTAACAAAGAACTACAAATTATATCTTAAAACAACAGAAATTTATTGTCCAAAGTTCTGGATAATAGAAGCCTGAAATCAAGGTAATGATAGGACTATGCTTCCTATGAAACCTGTAGAGGAGAAACTTTCCTAACCTCTTCTAGCTTCTGGTGTTTGCTGGCAATCTCCAACGTTCCTTGCATTGCAAATGGATCACTCCAATCTTTGCCTCCATAGTTCCATAACTATTTTCTCCCTGTGTGTCTCCCCTTTTCCTAAGGACACCAGCCATATCGAATGAAGAACCCACCCAGTAAGACCTCACTTTAATTAATTATATTTTTAAGAACCCTATATTTCCAAATAAGGTCATATTCTATGGGTTAGCCCTTCCACATTCTCTTTGGGGAGCACAATTTCACCAGTAACAGGGCTATTATAAATAAAACCTCTAAGAACAGTCTCATTCATGTCACTTGGTGTGCACATGGATGAATTTCTGTTGGATATATACATAAAAGTAAAATAGCTGGAACAAAGTATATGCATATATTCACTTTATTAGTTACTACCAGGTGTTAGTGCCAATTTACCTTACTCTCAATAGCATGTGAGAGTTCTAATTCTCTTTCCCTAATGTGAAATTCTGAATCTTATTTTATCTTAGTCATATGAGCAGGTCGTTAGCAGTATCTCTTTATGGTTTAATTTTCATTTATCTGATTATTAATCAGGTTGAACGCTTTATTGACCATTTAGAAATGCCTGTTCATGATTCTTGCCTTTTTTCTATTGAGTTGTGTGAACAAATGTTCTTACTGATTTGTAGGAGTAGTTAATAGAATACACAAATAACTATTTTTTTCTCATGTATTACAAATTTCTTCAACCCTCTGCCTTACTTTTCACTCTTAATGATGTTTGTGAATGGACAGGATTTTTTTATTATAATGCAGTCCAATTTATCAATCTTTTCATCTATAATTAGTGCCTTTTTTCTTGTCTTGTTTAAGAAATCTTTTCCTAACTCAAGGTTATACAGATATTTTTCTAAATTTTTTCTAGATATTTTCTTCTTCCATGTTTCACATTTAAATTAACACTATCTGAAATTAATTTTGGGGTACAATATGGATAAGAGTCAGTATTAATTTTTCCAATATGGATATTCAGTGAATCCATCACCATTTATCAAAAAGTTCATGCCTTTCCCACTGCTCTTTGTGCAATCTTTTTCATAAATCATTGTTCATATATATGTGGGTCTGTATCCATGTTCTCTATTGTGTTCCGTGATTATATTAATCAAATCAATAATTGAAGTGTTTAAAAGCTGGGCCTCAGTTCATTTGAGTGCTTGCTAATTTCTGCTGCAGCCTGCTGTTAGGAATCAGAATTTTGGGAACTCCACTGACATCCTGTGTCATTACTAGGGCTACTCCTCATCAGCCAGCCCTGTAACCCAGCATTTGTTCCCCTAGCCCTGTTATTCAGCTGAAAACTTTGCAGAGCTTCCCATCCTCCAGCTACTTCTTTCAAATTGATAAGTGCCCTCAGGGATGAGTGGCCCCAAAGGTCTAGCTCACTTCTCTGGAAATTTGTGATCTTCAAAATCAGGAGTTCTCACTGCCTTGGAAGCTCTCCAATGGTTTGAACCAGATTTGTATTCTTATTTTATCTAACTTATTTTGTTTTAAGAGAGAAGAATAGCAAATTTTTTTGATCATTGCTGGGAACAAAACTACTTTTGTTGGATTTTGGATTATTTACTATTATACAATCTCTGCATAAAAACTGCAGAAAGAATTGTTACCTCTATTTAAATAATTATGGTGAAGAACATTTACATATGTATCCATACTATGCCAGTTAACCTGAAGCCCTAAGATAAGGAGGAAAAATATGGCAATAATAAATACGTAGACTATCACTGTATTCCCACTTCTCTTACTTTGCAAGTGACAGGCTAACACACAAGAAGTCCTCAGCTTTTGGGTCAGGAGCAAAAAAAAAAAAATGAAGTGCTCACCTTTCCTATTTTGTGGCCCCAACAATCCCCATTCATATCCAATACTTTATTCCACCATTTTATTACCTTGCCCATTGTATTCCCTTTGTGAGTCCAATTCCAGCTCCTCTATCTCTGCCCTTATTTGTTATCTTTATTATCCTCTACCTTTCTTATTTCCATTTATTTTCAATTGGAGGGACCTCATTTATTTCCTAGGAATTAAACATTTATTTGATTTTATTTATTTAAAGACAAAGATTTAACTACAAGGATTAATACCCTGTTTGTTGTCAGTGATTTCCTATTAGGTGAGCAGATTAACCTATTGGAAATAAGAAACATTCCCTTGAAAAGAGCAGAACTCCCAGCCCATTAGTATTATGAGACTGTTCCACCATTCTATCAAGCTAGATGTCCCGAATGATGGGGCATTTAGTAACCAGAGTGTTCCATAGAATTGGGTCCTTTGGTGTACTTTATTTGCCATTAAGTATGTTCCCTCTAAATATGTGATATAGTAGGCTGGATAGCATCCCCTCACAATTTATGTACAAATGGAATGTGACCTTACCTGGCAATAGGGTCTTTGCAGATGTAATTAGAAAAGGAACAAGAGGAGATCATACTGAATTAGGGCAGGTTCTAAATATAACAACATCCTTATAGAGACAGAAAAGGACACACCAAGACAAAGAGAAGGGAATGTGAAGATGAAGGCAGAGAGTTGGATGACACTCACAATCCAAGGATACCAAGGGTTGCTGAAAGCCACAAGAAACTAGGAGAGACTCATGAGAGAGTTTCTTCTCAGAGCTTCCAGAAGTAGCCACCTCTACCAATACCTTTTGACTTTTGGACATGTTCAGGCCTATCTTACATAGAGAGTGCTTCTATTTTATGTTAAAATGCTATTGTGCATATATAATTATATGATTTGGTAGATTCTATATTACCCAGTTCATGATATTAAATATGAGTTCTGTAGTCACTTGATATCTCAAAGTCTGCCACTCTTCAGTTTCTATCAGGCCAGTAGCAAGCCAGGAGCTGTTTTCCAAATACAGTCATGTGTCCTTTAATGACAGGGATATGTCATATTGTGTTATCCAACAAACATCATAGGGTGTACTGACACAAACCTAGATGGGATAGCCTACTATATACCTAAGCTACAGAGTATGGCCTGTTGCTCCTAGTCTACAAAACCTACACAGTGTGTTACTGTACTGAATACTGTAGGCAATCAGAACACAATGGTTAAGTATTTGTGTACCTAAACTTTAAACATACAATAAAAATATAAAAGATAAAAGATGATATTTCTGCATAGAACACTTATCATGAGTGGAGTTTGCAGGAGAGCAGTTTGTGCTGGATGAGTCAGGGAGTGAGTGGTGAGTGGATGTGAAGGCCTAGGACATTACTTTACGCTACTCTAGACTTCATAAGTACTGTACAATTTAGGCTACACTGAATTTATGAAAAATATTTTTTCTCCAATAATAAATTAACCTTAGATTACTGTAACATTTTTTACTTTATAAACATATTTTCTTAACTTTTGACTTTTTGTGATAATACCTATTATAAAACACAAACATAGTATAGAATTGTGCAAAATATTTTTTCTTATATTCTCATTCTTTAAGCTTTTCTTCTATTTTTTTAACCTTCTTAAATTTTTGTTTAAAACTGAGACAGAAACACGCATATTAGCCTGGGCCCTCACAGAGTCAGGACCATCAATATCAGCATCTTCCACCTCCATATTTTTTCTCACTGGAAGCTCTTGATGGGCAATAACACTTAGTGGAGCTGCCATGCGCTATGGTAGCAATGCCGTCTTCTGAAATAGCTCCTGACATTGTTTATTGTCATTTTCGTGGATTAGGCAATATACATAATTTTATATGCCATATTTTTATACAACTGGCAGCACAGTAGGTTTGTTTACACCAGCATCAATACAAGCACATAATATCAATGGATATTGCTGCACTGAGTCTTATATTTTCTCTCTCTTGGTATGACACCCAGAGAATCCACTTCCCACATGTTTCCCAGGTTCCTGCCAATACTAACTAGCAATATTTTTTTTAGTTTTTTAATATAATTCCTTTCTTATCATACTTTAAGTTCTAGGGTACATGTGTACAATGTGCAGGTTTGTTACGTAGGTATACATGTGCCATGTTGGTTTGCTGCACCCATCAACTTGTCATTTACATTATGTATTTCTCCTAATGCTATCCCTCTCCCAGCCCTCCACCCCCTGACAGCCCCCAGTGTGTGATGTTCCCCGCCCTGTGTCCATGTGTTCTCATTGCTCAACTCCCACCTAAAAACCCTAGAAGAAACCTAGGCAATACCATTCAGGACATAGGCATGGGCAAAGACTTCATGACTAAAACACCAAAAGCAATGGCAACAAAAGCCAAAATAGACAAATGGGATCTAATTAAACTAAAGAGCTTCTGCACAGCAAAGGAAACTGCTATCAGAGTGAACTGGCAACCTACAGAATGGGAGAAAATCTTTGCAATCTACTCATCTGACAAAAGGCTGATATCCAGAATCTACAAAGAACTTAAACAAATTTACAAGAAAAAACAACCCCATCAAAAAGTGGGCAAAGGATATGAACAGATACTTCTCAAAAGAAGAAATTTATGCAGCCAACAGACATATGAAAAAATGCTCATCATCACTGGTCGTCAGAGAAATGCAAATCAAAACCACAATGAGATACCATCTCATACCAGTTAGAATGGCAATCATTAAAAAGTCAGGAAACAACAGATGCTGGAGAGGATGTGGAGAAATAGGAATGCTTTTACACTGCTGGTGGGAGTGTAAATTAGTTCAACCATTGTGGAAGACAGTGTGGCAATTCCTCAAGGATCTAGAACTAGAAATACTAATTAGCAATATTTTTAAAAAGCTATTTAAATGATCAACAATTTGCTCCCAAGTAGTCTTACTTTTCTCTAAGTTTCCTATAAGTCTGGAGGCAATGAGTGGGACTAAGTCCTGAGAAGGATCAACAGTAACTCATGTGCCACTTAAAGGCTTTTATGCAAAGGGTGGCTACCTCCACAAGGAGACAATATTTTAAGACGCAAGATTTCAGCACTGTTCATAAATGCCTCAATGATCTTATAGCATAGATTAACATTCCATCCTGTAGTGACTGGTCTTCTCATATTACCGTGGTATGATAGAGTATTGAAGCCATGCTGCAACTGTGAACAGCTTCCAAACAGACACAGTGGTTGGACCTCAGCCATATTTGTCTTGTAGTTATAAAACATGATTTAAAGTTGCAATCATAGTGACCTTATGTTTATCCACATATGCTTTTAAATTTTATTAATAATTCTTATATATTTTTTCTTATGTACATTCTTAAAATACAGTAGGAGAAGCCAGGAGATTTCCATAATCACTATTGCTGTGTAACAATGAAGTGACTCAGATCTTTGATCTCCTTGTGCTTTCTATCTGCATTTCATCTCATGCTGCCCCCAGTGATAATTTGAGTAATCATGATGTCATCACACAGCATAGATTACCTGTGTCCCACCTGTGTCACATTCATCTCCTCCCTTACCCAGCAAGGTTATCCTGCAGTACTCAAATATATGACTAACACCATATCAGAATCCAATATTGAAGCCCTCTTTCCTGAAGCCATTTCAGTACAAATTACTCTATTCATCAGGGAGTCAGCAGGAAACAGATGGCACACTAAAATTAGGAAAATTTGAGGAGATTTAATTTACAAAGTGACTAATTACAAAGGTAGGGTGAGGAGTGGGGAAGCCACAAGAGATAGTTCAGGTACCTGGAGCTAGTAGCAGCAGCAAAGCTGTCACCATTAGCCATGAAGAGATTAAGGGAGGAAGAAACTCCAGCCAGCCTAAGGCTACATCAATTAGAGAAAACCAGAAGGATAAATCCCTTTCCTCCAATCTCATCTAGCCCAATGATTTCCTCCTGGCCCATTCTCTTCATGTCTCAGCTCAAAACTCATCTCCTCAAATAATTCTCTTTGTTCAGTCTATCTAAAGTGGCTCCACCATCTCCCTCTCCTCCACTACTCTGTATCTTATGTTTTTATAGCATAAATATGCATATATCTGTCTTTTTATCCTGCTACAATCTTATATTTTTGTACAATTCTCTGATGACAGAAATTATGTTTATCTTATTCTTTGTTGTTTTCTCAACAGTCAGAAGTGGGTCTGGCATATAATACAAAATCAATAAATATTTGGTAAATTATGAAGAAAGAATTGCAAAATATTCTTAAAAGAAGGTGATAAGAACTGAGGCTGATAGTGATAATTGATTGGAAAAGAAAAGGCAAATTAGAGAATGTGATTAAAGAGAAATTACATTAGAAGTGGGGAAAAGAGACCAAGGAACTAAAGATAATGACACAGAGTCAAACATGGAGTAATAAAACAATTGTATTATAATGGTTTTGTAAATATTTCAAAATTGAGGCTGTTTGGAGGAGATTTTATGTTTACTCTTGGAAATGTTTAAAAGGTTTCCTTAAGACTTGAGGCTTTCATGTAAAATGTATGAAAGATATGGAGATAAGAAAGTGGCTTTTAAGAGATTGCATCAAGAGCAATAACAAAGAAATGATATGGGTGATGACAAATACTTTTTTTTTTTTTTTGGAGACAGAGTCTCACTCTGTCACCCAAGCTAGAGTGCAATGGCATGGTCTTGGCTCACTGCAACCTCTGCCTCCCATGTTGAAGCGATTCTTCGGCCTCATCCTTCCAAGAAGCTGAGATTACAGGCACCCACCACCACGCCAGGCTAATTTTTTGTGTTTTTAGTAGAGATGGGGTTTCGCCATGTTGGCCATGCTGGTCTCGAACTCCTGACCTCAGGTGACCCACTCACCTCAGCCTCCCAAATTGCTGGAATTATAGGCATGAGCCACTGCACCTGGCCCAGATTCATGTTTTATGTGTCTCGTATGTCTGCTGTTTTCTCAAACCATGCCATGTCAACCAATCAATCAATGCATATTTACTGAAATCCTTCTGTAGGCCCAACTCTGCTTCATGTATCACCAAAATTGTTTTCATAATGTAATAGGAACAAATTTATTTTGAAAAGCTTTAAGATGAAGCTCATCTACTTATGTAGACAGCAAGTTAAATCATTCTCTTCCCTGAAGCATGTGCAGATATCAAGTTAGTAAAATAAACAAACAAATAAATACAGATTTCAATAAATGAAATAAAGGAACAGAAGGGGTAGTGATGAAGGAAGATGGTGTTGAGCTCAGGATACACGCCAGCATTATGCTAAGTCACTTTCACACTGCATCTCATTGAATCCTCACAACAACTGCTGGAGCTGGATATCAGTGTTCATCTGAAAATGTTTCAAGTGTGGATGCGAGCGGGTAGGCAAATTTTCTAAAGTCATTTTACTACTAGAGCTAGAAATCAAATTCTCATTTGACACCTAATCTCACATACTTTCCACCACTCTGGTTTTTCCACAGAAGAAAGGATGCAAACCATCAATCATTATGTTGTTACTACATGCAAGGCCAGGGGGCTTTTCCTGAAACAACAGGAGACCTGATACATATCCCTCACCCTATTAAAAAAATAGCAATTATTTATATCCATTGCCTTTGCTTGTCTCCTTCAGTGTATATTCCAACATTTTAACGGAGATTGACTGCGTTTAATTTGAATAGACTTGAACTAGTGTTACAGGCCCTCTTGGACTTATTTCTCATCAAAAAGCTTGTCCTTCCTGTCACCTTTCTCATCCCACCGGTTTGCCCTACTTCTTTTTCCCAGGCTACTCATTTGAGCTGTCCTCTGTGCCTTCTGACCCACTCAACCTCACCCACAGCATCTCACGTTGATGCAGGGCTGCAAAACGCTCAGAGTCTGAATGTCCTCCTTGGGCAGCCAGACAGAATGGGTGGAAGCCAGAGTGATGCCTAGTCTGAACAGATTTGGAGAAACAAGATCTTTCAGATTTACCCATTTAGTCATTTGATAGCCCATTTGAAACTTGTAATCATTCTTGTTACAAATAGTCATTAATTGTTAGCACAGTGTTTGGCAAATTGCATATTGACATTGGGCATGCACTGATGAATATGGTTATTAAGTTCATTGAAGAGTAACAGAATCATGAGGATTACAAACAGAGGCAGGGAGACATGGGCAGGTGGTATTACCGAAGCAGGGGACTAGGGATGATTAATTCATCCTGCTTGTCTTGAGAGAAGTCTTCACAGAGGATATGACACATGGACTGGGTCTTGAAGAATGGCTACCATCTGGCAGGTAGGAGAGGAGTATAGGAAAAAGTCAAAGGAGCAGGAAGGTACATAGTAAAATCAGATAACTGTCATTGTCACAGGAGCCTTGCCTGAGAACCCACTGTAAGAATTACAATTACTGCCTCAACTGGCCTTGTCAATGTGGTTCTGATTATAACACAGTACTGTAGTTACTTAATAGACTATAGAGCCTACAGAGATGAATTTTTTTGTAGATCTGTGCAATAACCATATTTTAAACTGTGAAATGTCTCCTAATTTCCTCTTATAGCAATAGGTATTTTGCCATTTTTCAAAAAGGTTAAAGTTTTATGCAGATTTTTGTTTTTTGTCCGGCTCTGAAATGTAACTCTTGCCTGTGGCACTCGGGAGGAATAAAGTTTCTTTGGGATGGAAAAATCACATTGGAATGCAATGTAGTACCTTTGTTGATTTCACATTTCGTCATCCTCCACTCATTTCTTCATCGGCTGGCAGTTCCTATTGCCTTGGCAAATCAGCTATCTTCCTATATGATCATGCCACACTTCCTCACTGTAAAATATATTATGGAATCACTGGTATTCTGTCTGATGGTCTAATGCTCTTGCTCGCCATTACTCCTTAAATGTAGTATCATTTTGATTGTTCTCATAGTGCAAACACTCTATTGTACGGAGATAAAAGACTAGTTATTCTTCATGCGTATTCTAACTACCATGCATTGCTTTGTACTCTGTAAATGCTGCTTGGAAATATGACTCCAGTGGCTAGTTACTGAGAATAGTTATAGCATGCTTTCCAGAAACCTAAAGAAAAGACAGATCTAACTGTGGAAGATTTTGGCTCCGGTTTCTCTGGGTTGTCTGTGTTTTATATGTTCTAATATGTTCTATTTTTTGCTTTGTGATCTAGCATATGTCAATATTGTAGTGGTTTTTATATGATTAAAAATGGCATGGAAAGATAAGAAAATATACTAAGGCAGCAGCTAGGCTTGTCTGACATACGCATGGAGACTGCAGGGAAGCATGCTTTCCCTGTCACAATCTGACACCATTTTGTGAAATTTGCTCAAGAGACCTGCATATTTAATACCTGCTTCCTTTAGTATATATTTTTCATGACTCACTTTTTTTCTTTCAAAATGCAAATGATTAAACTTTATATAAACAATAAGGAATTTCTATCTAATATATAGTTTAAAGGGGTATCCAGTCATCTAAATATCGTTATTGAATGTTCTAAAAATAAATTTTCAAATTATTCACACCAGTTTTAACCATTTTGATACTCTAATTATACAGGTGTGAGCAGATTAAGAATTCAAAATAATGAAGTGATGACACGGAAAACTTAGACACTTCCTTGCTTTTTTATATTTTAACCTTCACAATAGCCCTATGAAGGTGATATTATTGTTCTTCTTGGTTGAGGCAACTGAGACTTAGAGAGATTGCTTAAATTCCAAAGGTTATATAGTTACTAAATGGCACGTAAACAAATACTTAACTTGTTGGGAGGCCGAGGCAGGCAGATCACAAGGTCAAGAGATCGAGACCATCCTGGCCAATATGATGAAACCCCATCTCTACTAAAAATACAAAAATTAGCTGGGCATGGTGGCATGCACCTGTAATCCCAGCTACTCTGGAAGCTGAGGTGGGAACATCGCTTGAACCTGGGAGGTGGAGTTTGCCATGAGACAAGATCGTGCCGCTGCACTCCATCCTGGCGACAGGGTGAGATTCCGTCTCAAAAAAAAAAAAAAAAAACTTGACTTGAAGCCTTTATATTTTGCCTAATATAATATGTATTGCCTTTCACAGGTGGGGTTCAACTTTAGTACCCTGAAAGATTATTCCCATGTAGTTAATCCATTTGACAATATTCAAGAGACTCAGTACTTGTACCAGGTATAGAATAAATTAGCAGGTTAGGCAGAGGAGTAGGGATTACGATTTAAGTGTAAACTGATTCTGTTATGTGATGAAAAAAATTGCTGTCTTAGAGGCAACCTAACAAAACTGCAAGCAACATATGGACTTACCAATAGTCCAATAAAATAATTTAAGAAATGGTTTACAAATGAATAAGTGATGAGGTCATGGTAACTATAAATTCTAATCAAGGTCATTATATGTAAAAAATGTTGCTGAGAAAACTTGTAACAAAGTTGCCAGTGGTCAACAGGCCAGCTGCGGTGACCAACACTAACCCTGGATCCTACCTTCTTATTAAAAATATTTTGGATGCAAAAAATTAAAGAATTTTTTAAAGATAGTCCAATTGTCTTTTTTTTTTCTTAACATACTCTAGCTATAAAATTTATTTAGTTTAGACCCAACATAATGCTTCACTTCATTAAAATACAAGCTTTTTCAGCAATAGAACTGATTTTCATTTATCAAATCAACATGTTTGTGATTATTATTCCTCATAATTAAAATAACATGTTAACTTACATGGCTTTAGAAAACATGAAAAAGTATACAGACTAATGTAAAAATATAGTAACTGGGGACATGCACCTGTATGCTCAGAATAATGTTCTCTATAATTTTGTATATCAATATTTATTACTCAACTTTGTATTAATTTTTCATATCATTAAATATTTCCTCCAAAACATGATCATAATGATATCCAACATTTCCTCATATGGTCATGCTGACTTATATAATGAATCTCTACCAATGAGTATCTAGATTGTTTTTATAGGTTTGTATATGATTAAGAATACTGACATGAATATTGTTGTCCTCAAATCTTTGTTCACATATCTGATTATTTTCTTAAGAGAAATTCATAGAATTATAATTACTGGATGACATAGTGTACACATTTTAAATATTTTTGAATATTAACTTCCAGGGAATTAGTAAAAATGTATTCCCATCAGTTAAATATTGGTATATTAATGTGATTTTTAAAATACATGGAACTGAATATTTTCACACATTATTTAACCACATGTACTTCTTATTGTATGATATTCTTGTACATATTCTTTGAAACTTTTCTCTCATTATCTAAAAGTATAATTGTATATTTTGAAGGCATTTTGTTAATCAGGATATTAACATTTTGAAATTTTACATATTTAAAAAACTGCTTCCATTTAAGTTGTTTATGGTAATTAAAGCATTTTATCAGAATTTTTAAAAAGGTGCTCACATTTACCAGGAATTTTCTTTATGTTTTATCCCTGTGCATTTATACTTAGCAACAATTCCCTAGCTTAAGTACAATTTTATTTGTAGTCTCTTGTGATTTCATTTGCATTTAATTTCTTGTCCAATCCAGAACTTTATTGATCTATGTTAGATTTATCATCTGTTGATATAAAATGTATTGACAAGTAAACAAATTAAGTCTTCTATTTGGTCTTCCCTATGTCAACTTTGCTCCTTTCCAATCCAATCTCTGCATTGCCACCAGAGTAATTTCATATCTCTAGGCCTCCTTTTTCTCATGTTAAGCATGTGGCCACAAATAAGCCATAAACACTGATTCTAATTTTTGAGATCTTAGAATTTTTAGGGGGCAAGACAAGGCCAATTCATAAGAGCAGTTAAACAAATTTGCAAGCTGGCATTTCAAGAAATGCTATCTGGCAATGGGTGGCAAATGACAAATGACAGACATCATCAAACATATATAGATGTTCATACAAAAGAGAGTACTTGAGAGGGCTGATGTAGAATACCTAATGAACTAGGTTGAATTTGAGTTAGAGCTTGAGATATAAGTAAAATATACCTAAATATCATTGAATTTAAACAAAAGGAATGGCAAAAAGAAGAAAGAACAGTGTTGGTAATGTTGACCATTTGGGGGTAAAAATAAATATAACATCTTATTTTAGCAAATAGCTGCTTTGTGGTTGCCATACACCTACAGAATATAATAATAGTGGTTGGTAATAAGAAAATCAATAACTGTTATGTGCTACAAATTATATGACCTCTGAACATTTACTTAAATTCTCTAGAGCCCCATTTTCTCATGGTTTACCATGAGAAACCATGAGAAATGAAGGAGGTCGATTTCTAAGGTCACTTGGAGCATAGATAATTATTTGAGTCCATGATTCTATGATGCTTAAATTTTAGACAGGTTGGTGAACTGGAGAGTGTTGGAGAAAACCATTTTTCAGCTGTTAAGTCATTCCACACTGGTAGCTGTCTTCTTTTACTAGCTAAGATAGGCAAGCCATTTCTAGTCATCTTATATTCTAATCTTTTTTTTCCGAGCTATGTAACCTCATATGGACTGTTTTTGACTACTTTGCACTATAAGAAATAATAATTTTTAAGTATTTACTAAGGACTTAAGTATTTATTTTCATTATCTGCACTACTTATACATGAAATAGCTGAAAATTATCAAGAAGTGTCCTCAAAATTAACACAAAATTTACGTATACATATACCAAGGCACATTAGCCCACAGGTTTTAAAAATAGCTTGATATAGAAAGAAATTGCCATGGGAAACAATTTTCAGTAACCTCTGCCGGTCAGAATAATCTCAGATCTGTGTTTTGCTGAGGGAATTTTGCTTCCTATACATTTCACTCAGTTGTCATGCCAACCTTCCAGTTCTTCTTAATGTGAAGATGGCTGTGTGTTAACCTGGACATTTGGAAAGATAAGTTGTTAACTTCCAAACAGAAATGATGATTTAGGGTGCGTAGGGTGAGTTGCCAAATGTCTGTTCTAGTCATTTCACTGTAACCAACTTTATAAATGCTTCAGTTTATACCCTGCTTTCTTCTGAAAAAATAATTTTGAACTTACCCATGATTACTGCTGAAAAGCACTCTATATTTCAGTATTTTCCACGGGTAAAAGTTCTGCTAACTTTTTGCAAGTCTTCTTCTAATATCAGAGTAGGTACTGCGTTTCATTGCTTATCAAGCAGATAGTATACAGTTGCACATTTCAGGAATATACTGTATCTATAATTTTGTAAGTTTGTATGTCACAAATTTTTCAGGAAGCCCTCTCAATTTCAGGTATTGTTTTGCGACAGGAAAATCATTTATTTTATAACTAAAGTTAATATTTTAAATAAACTAATAAATTTTTAAGGATTATCAATAGGTACATTTTCTTTGTTCAGAAAATATGGCCACTTTGCAAAAGGAATCTAGGAAACAGTTATCTCTCTAGTTCTTCAAACAGGCATTTTAATTAAAAAAAATACATGGTCACTTAAACTCATTCAATTAATTGAATCTGAAAGTGTTTCTCTCAATATCCAATTAGTTATGGATTGTATTCTCCCAAATCTTGTACTTTTTAATTCATCAATCCATTATCACAACACATGTGTAACAAATCCAAAGCATGCTTCTGCAGACGAGTTTGTGGACCTTAATTAACCTTGTATTCTCTCACTTGGATCCTTCGTGTACCCACTGCTCTCTTGCTCATCGACTCTGGGACTAGCCACTTCCTGATCTGTAGCTTCTGAGCATGTGTATTACCCCTTCAACTAGGAAGATATTTGCTTCCTCCATTTTGATGCTCATTAGACTTCCTCATCATTTGTCCATTGCCTCTTTTCAGTCCCCCAGTTAGAAACAATTGAGATTTCAGTACAGCCAGTGTGGTTGAGTCTCTCACTTGTTTCTGCACCTCCACAGGAGTTGTTTTTTTTCTATAGTTGCCATAGAAGACTATGGCTTTTGTTGGAAACTGCAAGATATTTTGATATAAAGAATTTGAAATAAGACTTTAGTGTTCATCAGAGCTCTGTTTTATTTGCCAGCTCAAAAACTTTAAGTGCCTTAAACTCTCTCATAGTTATATCACATGAAATAGGGATTTCAAAATTTGCTTCATTGGGCTGTAGCAGTGATTAAATAAGATAACATATGAAAAGTGCCTAGTACTATTTTTGGCCAATAGTGTGTTCTCAATCAATAGTAGAACAAATCTAGAAACTCTCAACTTTGAATCTCCTGAAAGTTTTAAAACATGAGGTAATTGGGGCTTTTTTTTTTGGAGACGGAGCTTCACTCTTGTCACCCAGGCTGGAGTGCAATGGTGCGATCTCGGCTAACTGCAACCCCCACCTGCCGGGTTCAAGGGATTCTCCTGCCTCAGCCTCCTGAGTAGCTGGGATTATAGGTGCCTGCCACCATGCCCAGCTAATTTTTGTATTTTTAGTAGAGATGGGATTTCATCATATTGGCCAGGCCAGTCTCAAACTCCTGACCTCAGGTGATCCACCCACTTTGGCCTCCCAAAGTGCTGGGATTACAGGCGTGAGCCACCACGCCCAGCCACGGCTTCATTTTTTTAGCTTTTTTTCCTATAGGTGCAATAACATTTCTTTGGGTATCACTCATCACTAGAGGACAGAGAAGTCACTAACTGTACTCTGAAAAACCCCCACCCCATTGCTTGTAACCTTGTGAGGAATGTGGTCTTCTCCCTTAAACCAGATCCAAAGTCTGACCTCACTCTTTGAGAGGTGACATTAGTACTATAATTATTGCCTCCACGGATTGGACCAACATTAAATCCGCCCTAAAGAGAGGGCTATTTATGTATATATGAAGAGACTTTTTTCAAAATTATTTCTTCTGAAGTGAGTTGTTGATTAAGTTACTACTGGTTTGGCGTAAGTAAGCCATTTTCTTTTCCTGAAGGTATTTTATAGAAATTTAAATTATAAGGTAAATTTCCCAACCAAAGAAGTTTATATGTTAGACGTTCATTTTTCCTTCATTATAAACCAAATAAGCTCCAAGTTTTAAAGTAGAGAGCATGAACTTCTTCCATCAATCGAGGTAATTCAGACTGTTTCGGAAGCTTCTCTTTTTTTTAATACCATAGAAAAATTAACATTTCTTCTTCAAAATTCGGGGAATAGAGAAGGGGATATGTTGATATGGGGAAAGAGAAAAAGGAAAAGCTTAAGTGTTTTATTATTTGCAGTTCTTTAGTAAAATAAACAAAAACTACAGAGTTCTAACAAACATAATATAATAGACTATTTCAGCCAATCGGAAGAGAATTGCCAAAAATCTAAACTCTATATTTCCTGGTGGAGGGGAAGACACTGAAACCTAACAGATGGAATAATATTGCTAACTTATATAAAGAAGTCATTGAAGAAATTCAAAAGTAGTCGGGGGAAGGAGTGGCAATGGGGACCGGTGTGCCAATCAATGCAATGAGAAAGGGCATTCTCACTTATAAGATGGTAAACAGCCTTGGAATTTCTGTGGGGTCAGAAACTGTGAAAGCTAGGGCAAAGTATACTCAAATGAATATAAACAACCTTCTTAGAATATAAATAATACTCAGAAAATGCTACACTATAAGCATAATTTAATGAGAGAAGAAGACCACTCTATGATTATATCTGAAATAATACAGAAAGGAGGACACTCTGCAACCACAAAAAAAGTAAATTATTTCCTTTTTTACATCTAACATGAGTTACCCTTTTTTAAAAAAACCAATGGCAATTCTAGTCCTGTATTCATCTTTCTGTTTTCTAATTATAATTATTAAGATGGCAAGTCACCTAATTACCTCAGCTAACTGACAGCAACCAACAAAAGAATGGACTCTGTTTCCTAAGTTACTGGGCAGGGAGAAATATTCCTGGAGTGTTCAAGTAAAGAGCTCTGAAACACACTCCTCCATAAAAGAAACAAGCACACTGGAAACACTTGTCAAAACTTATTTTTTTTTTCAGAGATCTGGGACTTAACCAAGAGCATGCAACATTACAAGAAATATTTAATTTAAAAAAAAGACAGAATTTCAGTTACAACAATATTTTTCTGTCATTTTAACTTATTTCCGTTTCTTTCTCCCTAGTCCTTAGGTAGCATTGGAAACCAACAGCCTCACAATCATGGTAGCTATGAAACCAGCAGCCAAGCAGCCAGTGGACACAACAGAATGGGTTTCAAGCTCAATAAAAGCCTAGTTCCCAGAGAACTGCCATTATTTGACCTGACTAAAAATTCCCGGAAAACACCTACTCACAATGTTTATCTTTATGTATCCTGACTCAGAGCTTGCTCAGTATGAACAACTATTCTCCTGGTGCATTTGTCAAGAAGAGGAAGAAGGAGAAGGAGAAGAGGGAAGGGTTAAGGGGAAGAAGGAAGAGAAAGAGAAGGAAGAAGAAGAGGAGGAGAAGGAGGAAGGAGAGAGGGAGGAGGAGGAGGAGGAAGAGAAAAAGAAGAATCAGTGGCAGTTGTTTAACATCACAGCTGTCTGAGTCAGCAACAAGAGCTGAGACAGAAGAGGCAGATCAAAAAACTTAAAAGGAGAAGCTAGAAATGAGATGTCTATAAGGGGTTTTGAAAAACTCCAACATATATCTAGGAAATTAGAAGTTCATGCATATGTGCAGAGCTGAGGGCATACCCAGGAAAGATTTGATAAGGTGTTAATCTCTCACTGGGAGTCTGTGGGGAGCACTGGGGTTCTGCACAAGCAAGAAGTAAAGGCTAAGGCAGAGTTGTAAACTGTCAGAATATTGAATACACACACACACACACACACAAACACACACACAGTCTCTAAAAAAAAACTAGGAAACGTAATGGTTCAAGGACATTAAGAAATTCTCTATAAATTACTTTGGACAGTATGACCATTTTATGACTATTGATTCTTCCTATTATTCCTAACTATAAGCATGGAATGTTTTTCCGTTTGTTTCGTCTCTGATTTCATTCAGCAGTGTTTTGTAATTCTCATTGGAGACATCTTTCACCTCCCTGGTTAGCCGTATTCCTGGTTATTTTATTCTTTTAAGACAATTTTGAATGGGATTATGCTCCTAATTAGGCTCTTGGCTTGGGTGTGGTTGGTGTATAGGAATGCTAGTGATTTTTGTACATTGATTTTGTATCCTGAATTTTTGCTGAAGTTGTTTGTAAGCTTAAGGAGCTCTCAGGCTGAAACAATGGAGTTTTCTAGATATAGAATCATGTCATTTGCAAACAGGAATGGTTTGACTTCCTCTCTTCCTATTTGGATGCCTTTTATTTCTTTCTCTTGCCTGATAACTCTGGCCAGAACTTCCTGTACTATGTGGAATGGGATTGGTGAGAGAGAGCATACTTATCTTGTGCCAGTTTTCAAGGGGAATGCTTTCAGCTTTTGTTCATTCAGTATGATGTTGACTTTGGGTTTGTCATAGGTAGCTCTTATTATTTTGAGTTCTGTTCCTTTAATACCTAGTTTATTGAGAATTTTTAACATGAAAGGATGTTGAATTTTATCGAAAGCTTTTTCTGTATCTATTGAGATAATCATGTGGTTTTTGTCCTTAGTTATGTTTACGTGATGAATCAGATTTATTGATTTGCCTTTGTTGAACCAACCTTCCATACCAGGAATGAAGCGTTCACGATCATGGTGGATTAGCATTTTGACAAATGCTGGATTCAGTTTGCTAGTATTTTGTTGAGAATTTTTGCATTAATACTCATCAAAGATATTGGCCTGACATTTTTGTTGTTTTTGTTTTTGTTGTATCTCTGCCAGGTTTCGTGTCAGGATGATGCGGGCCTCATAGTGTGAGTTGGGGAGGATTCTCTTCTCAAGTTTTTGAAATGGTTTCAGTAGGAATGATATCAGCTCCTCTTGTACTTCTGGTGGAATTTGACTGTGAATTCATCTAGACCAGGGCCTTTTTTAGCAATCACAAAAAAGCAAAAATTGGCAAATGGTATCTACTAAAGAGCTTCTGCATAGCCAAAGAAACTATCAACAGAGCAAACAGACAACCTATAGAATGGGAGAAAATTTTTACAAACTATGCATCTGACAAAGGTCTATTATTCAGCTTCTATAAGAAACTTAAACACATTTACTAGAAAAAAAATTTAAAAGTGGGCAAAGTACAGTAACAGAAACTTTTCTAAAGAAGAGATACATCGAGTCAACAAGCATATGAAATAAAAGCCCAAAATAAGTAATAATTAGAAAAATGTAAATCAAAATCACAATGAGATACCATCTCACATCACACCAGTCAGAATGGCTATAATAAAAAGGCCAAAAATAACAGATGTGGCAAGATTGCAGAGAAAAGGGAATGCTTATATACTGTTGATAGAAGTGTAAATTAGTTCAATGATTGTGGAAAGCAGTATGATTATGCCTCAAGAGCTAAAAACATAACTACCATTCAACCCAGCAATCCCATTTACCAGGTATATACCCGAGGAATATAAATTAGTTTACCATAAAGACACATGCATGTGAATGTTCAATGCATCACCATTCACAATAGCAAAGACATGGAACCAACCTATATGCCCATCAATGCAACTTATGCCTATCCTATATACCTATCAATGGATGTAGAAAATGTGGTACATATACATCATGTAATACTATGCATCCATAAAAAAGATGAGATCATGTCTTTTCAGGAATGAGAATAGAACTGGAGACCATTATCCTTAGCAAACTAATGCAGAAACAGAAAACTAAATACTGCATATTCTCACTTATAAGTATGAGCCAAATACTGAGACCTCATGAAAAGAAAAAAAGCATTATAAGGGAATAGTATGAATAATTACATGTAGAAATATTAAATATGCTAAACTTCTAACAAACAAATAGATTAAATTTCTAATTAAAAAAATTCTGGCTGGGTGCAGAGTCTCATGCCTGTAATTCCAGCACTTTGGGGGAGCTGAGGTGGGAGGATCACTTGAGCCCAGGAGTTTGAGACTGGACCGGGCAACATAGAGAGATCAGGTTTCTACAAATAAATAAATAAACAAATGAAAAATAGCCAGGCATGGTGGCAAGTGCCTGTAGTCCCAGCTACTCCAGAGGCAGAGATGGGAGGATCACTTGAGCCTGGGAGGTTGAGGCTGCAGTGAACTGTGATTATACTACTGAACTTCAGACTGGGTAACAGAGAGACCCTGTCTCAAAAAATAAAAGGAAAAAGAACATTTTCCATAAAGAAAAGACTAGGATCAGATAACTTTATAGGTGAATTTGACCACATGTTTAATGCAAAATGAACACCAATTTTTCACAAACTCCTTCAAAAATTAAAAGAGAAGGAATCATGTTCTGACTTATTCTATGAGGCCAGTATTACCCTGTTACCAAAGGCAGACAAAAACATCAGAGGTAAAGAAAACCACTGACCAATATCTCTTATAAATATAGATGCAAAATTTTTTTAACAAAATCCTAGCAAATTGAATCCAAAAACATGTAAAAAGAATTATATAACATAACCAAGTGGGATTTATCCTAGTAATGCAAAATTAATTCAATGAACAAAAATAAATTAATGTAATTTAAAGTAATATAATAACAAACAGAATCCATATAATCACAATAAGCTCAGAAAAATAATCTGACAAAATCCAACACCCTTTTCTGATTAAAAAAAAAACTCAAAAAACTAGGAATAGAAGACAAGGGCACCTATGAAAAATCTACAACTAACAATATATTTAAAGGTGACAGACCAAGAGTCTTGTCCTGAAGGTTGGGAACAAGACATGTATGTCCAACTATCAGCACTTCTAATCATCCTTATGCTGGAGATTTCAGGCAGGGCAATTAGGCAAAAAAATTAAATAAGTCATCCAGTTTGGAAGCAAAATAGTAGAAATATCTTTATTCTCAAACAAGATGATCTGGATATATACAAAATGTACAAACACACACACATACACACACACACACATACAAATACACATACACACACGCCCATGCTATTAAAACTAACAAATGAGTTCAGCATTGTGACATAAGAAAACAAAAGAAGAAATCTTCATGAACTCGGGTGAGAAAACGGTTTGTTGGACATAACACCAACCAAAAGAACAATCAACAAAAGAAAAATAAATAGGTAAACTGTACTTTATCAAATTAAAAATATTTATACTTCAAAGGACTGCATTAAGAGTGAAAAGACAACCCATAAAATGGGAGAAAATATTGCAAATCATTTATATGTTGAGATTTCTATCTAGAATATGTAAAGAACTCTTAAATCCCAACAATAAAAGATAAAGAATCAATAATACGTGGGCAACAGATATGAACACACATTTCTCTAAAGAAAATATACAAATGGATAATATGCAAATGAAAAGCTGCTCAACATCATGAGTCATAAGAAAATTTAAATCAAAACCACGTTGAGATACCATTTCATACAGAATTGGATGGCTAAAATAAAAAATAAGATAATAACAAATGTTTGTGAGTAGGTGTAGATATTGGAATCCTCATACAATACTGATGGGATTGCCAAATGGGTAGCCACTGTAGAGAAATTCCTCAAAAGTTTAAACATAGAGTGATCATATGGTCTGGCAACTTCACTTCTAGATATTTAAAAGAATTGAAAACATATGTCCACACAAAAATCTGTGCATGAATGTTTATAGCAACATTACTGATAGTAGACAAACAGTAGATGCAATCCAAATTTTCATCAACTGAGAAGATAAACAAAATGTCACATATCCACTCAATAGGATATTATTTAACAATAAAATGGAATGAAGCAACGATATATATGTGTACTTTCAAACTTATTAGAGAAGTTAGTTACAAAAATCCACATATTGTATGATTACATTTATATAAAGTAATAGGGAAATCCAAAGAGACAGAAGCAAATTTGTGGTTGCCCAGGACTAGGTAGAATGGGAAGTGGGGAGTGACTGCTAACAGTTACAGTGTTTCATTTGGGAGTAATGAAAGTGATCTAAAATTAGATAGTAGTGATGGCTGCACAACTCTTTGAATATACTAAAACCCAATCAATTATATGGTTTAAAAGGGTGAATTTTATGATATGTGAATTATTTCTCAATAAAGCCATTTAAAAAAATCAGTCAGCACAAGCCCAAATCTCATAAATAGCCTTTCCAAATTTCCTCTTACCAAAAGGCACCACTCTCTATACTCTCTCTTTGCAGTAAGCTAAAAGAAACTTACCCTTTCTATTTTTACAAGAAAACTTTTTATTGAAGCATAATATACATACAGAAAATTGCACAAATTTTATATATATAGCTCAGAGAGTTATCCCAATGTGAACACATCTATACATCAATTATCTAGTAAAAGAATTTTAATGCTCCCAATACAGATAGCCCCTCTTGTTTATTATTGTCTGTACTATCACTAATTAATAACTCTGGAGTAGATCTAAAAATCTGAAGTACGTCTACTGAAATCAAACTAACCTAGAGCTGGGAATACCTTGAAGGCAATTAGGTTTTTATTTTGTAGCCTGTGAGTAACCTTGCTAATTTTCTAGTTTCACAAGCAAGATACAGAAAATAATGTCCCTCTAATCATTACGTCTTTCCTCTCAAAATGTAACCACCATTCTGACTTTTAACACCATTGTTTCTTTTCTTTCTTTTTTTTTTTACTATTTTTGAGCTTCATACAAATTGAAAAGGCTACATATATTACTTGATATTTAGCTTCTGCTGCTCAATATTACGTCTGTAAGGTTTTTCAATATTCTTGCAAGTAGCAGTAGACTGTTTTTTTCACTTTTTCTCCTTCAACTTTTAAGTTCAAGGGTACATGTGCAGGATGTGCAGGTTTGTTACACAGGCAAACGTGTGCCATGGTGGTTTGTTGCTCAGATCATCCCATCACTTAGGGTTAAGCTCCGAGTCCATTAGCTATTGTTCTTGATGCTCTCCCTCCTGCCACCAACCACCCTTGACAGGCACCAGAGTGTGTTGTTCCCCTCCCTGTGTCCATATGTTCTCATTGTTCAGCTCCCACTTATAAGTGAGGACATGTGGTATTTGGTTTTCTGTTCCTGCGTTAGTTTTCTGAGGATAATGACTTCCAACTCCATCCATGTCTCTACAAAAGATATGATCTTGTTCCTTTTTATGGCTGCATAGTATTCCCTGGTGTATATGTACCACATTTTCTTTATTCAGATTCATGGGCATTTAGGTTGATTCCATGTTTTTGCTATTGCGAATAGTGCTAGTGCTGCAATGAACATACTTGTGCATGTGTCTTTATATGTCTTTATTTCTTTAGGTGTATACCTACTAATCAGATTGCTGGGTCAAATGGTATTTCTGCATCTAGGTCTTTGAGGAATCACCACACTGCCTTCCACGATGGCTGAATTAATTGCACTCCCACTAACAGTGTAAAAGTGTTCCCTTTTGTTCGCAACCTCACCAGCATCTGTTGTTTTTTAACTTTTTATGAATAGCCATTCTGACTGGCATGAGATGGTATCTCACTGTGGTTTTGATTTGCATTTATCTAGTTATTAGTGATGTTGAACTTTTTTCCATGTTTGTTGGTTGCATGTATGTCTTCTTTTGAGAATTGTCTGTTCAATTTACCCTTTATTGACTATGAATGTGTTTCTCCTTAGGTCTTTGGCTAGAGAATTTTACCAACTCCTCAATCCCTTTTACTGACAATGATAATGGACAATAATATATATTCACAGTGAATTATAATTTACCAGTTTTTTTTCTTCTGTGCATCACGCATTTTTCACAAAAGCCTACTGAGGCATTACCACCAAAGACTATAAGACATAGGTTATTTGCCAAGTCCGAAGTTACAAAGTTGAAACCAAGTCTCCAAATTTCACAATATTTTAATTCACTTTGAGTTTGTGGGAAAGAATAGTCACTTTGCTTTAATTTATCAAGACAAAAGTGGCACTCACTTTCTTCAGTAGGTAAACCTTGATTTATCCTGCCAAAATAAATACTAAGGGTTGCCAGTAGTAAATTCTGATCAGGGTTGAATGTGTAGAATCTGGAGAAATAGCTGTGAATCGTCAAACCTACTTTGTTCAATTCCATTGAGGCAGTACTGCTTTGGAAGGAGCTTGCAATGTGGAATCAGACATGTAGGATGTCTTATAATCAACCATTTATTTATAATGTGACTCTAAAAAAAAATCACGTAACTTTTGTAATCCATGGTTCCTTTAACAGTATGACCCAACTAGTAATACTATTTCTGAGGGATTATTTTAAAAAGTAAGTGGGATAATGTAAATTGAATGTGGCACACAAGAAAACTTTATAAATGGTAGTTAATGTTTATTATTGTCTGTACTATTATTAATTAATAACTCTGGAGTAGGGCAAAAAGTCTAAAGTAAGTCTACTGAAATCAAACTAGTCTAGAGCTGGGAATACCTTGAAGGCAATTAGGTCTTTATTTTGTAGCCTGTGAGAAACCTTGCTGATTTTCTGTTTTTAGAAGCAAGATACGGGAAAGAAAAATAGATATGAAATATTTCCTCCGAATCTCTGTGTTCTCATTGTCTCAGAATTACTCTGCTATAATCTATGCAATCACCATTTTAACTATTTCATCATGAAACCAGCTGTTGGGATTGAAGCCCTGGATTCTTACTATAGTAAGAATCAGGAAGGCATCCATATTAATGAAAAATGACTAGGTCTCATTCTGCCACTATATTTTCTATATATTTATATTCTTTTACATAAATTTTTAAATTTTAAATTGTTGTGGGTACATAGTAGGTATGTATATGTATGGGTTACATGAGATATTTTGATACAGTCATACAATGTGATGTACCCCACATCAGGGTAAATAGGCTATCCAATGCCTCAAGTATTTATCCCTTGTGTTTCACACAATGCAATTATACCCTTAGGTTTAAAATGTACAATTAAATTACTTTTTACTGTAGTCACCCTGTTGTGCTACCAAATACTATGTCTTATTTATTCTCTTTAACTGTACTTTCAAACTTTTGCATATGAATATCCAGTTTTCAAAGCACCTTTTATTGAAAAGACCGTCCTTTTTCCAAAGTGTGTTCTTCTCAGCTTTGTCGACAATAAGTACACTGTAGATATATGGATTTACTTCTTGGTTCTCTATTCTGTTCCACTAGTCTGTGTATCTGTTTTTATGTCAGTACCGTGGTGTTTTGGTTACTAAAGCTTTGTTGTATAATTTGAAGTCAGGCAATGTGATTCCTCCAATTTTTTTTTTCTTTTGCTCAGGATAGCTTTGGCTTCTGGGTCTTTTGTGGTTTCATGTAAATTTTAGGATTTTTTTTCCTATTTCTGTGAGGAATATTATTGGTTTTTTGATAGGGATTGGATTCAATCTGCAGATTTCTTTGGATAGTGTAGATATTTTAACAATATTGATTCTTTCAATCCATAGATATGAAACATCTTATCATTTTTGTGTGTCCTCTTCAATTTCTTGCATTAATGTTTTATGGTTTTCATTGTAGAGATCTTTCGCTTATTTGGTTAATTTAATTATTAGGTATTTTATATTATTTGTAGTTATTTTAAATAAGATTACTTTCTTGATTTATTTTTCAGGTTGTTCAGTGTGTTGGTGTATACAAATGCTGCTGATTTTGTATGTTAATGTTGTATCCTGAAACTTTACTGAATTTGCTTTTTAGTTTTTAGAGGTTTTTTTTGTGTGTGTGCGTGTGTGTGTGTGTGTGTGTGTGTGTGTGTGTAGTCTTTAGGTTTTTCCCAACTTTAAGATCATGTCATCTGCAAAAAAGTATAATTTGACTTCTTCTTTTCCAGTGTTGGTGCTCTTTATTGATTTCTCTTTTCCAATTGCTCTAGCTAGGATTTCCAGTATTATGTTGAGTAACAGTGATGAAAGTGAGCATTCTTGTCATGTTCCAGGTCTTAGAGAAAAGGCTTCCAGTTTCTTCCCATTCAGTTAAATACTATCTCTGGGTCTGTCATATATGACTTTTATTATATTTAGTTATGTTCCTTCTATACAGTTTTTGAGGATTTTTATCATGAAGGGATGTTGAATTTTACCAATGCTTTTTTAACATCAATGGAACTGATCATATAGTTTTTGTCCTTCATTCTGTTGATATGAGGTATCACATTGATTAACTTGTGTATGTTGAACAATTCTTTCATCCCAAGGATAAATCTCACTTCATCCTGATGAATGATCTTTTTAATGTGTTGTGAAATTTGATATGCTCATATTTTGTTGAAGACTTTTGTATCAATATTCATCAGCGATATTGGCCTGTAGTTCATTTTTATGTGTCTTTTGTTTTTGTTTCAGGGTAATATTGGCCTTGTAGAATGAGTTTCAAAGTATTCCCACCTCTTCTATTTTTTGGAATAGTTTAGGTAGGATAGGTAATAGTACTTCTGTAATTGTTTGATACAATTTAGCAGCGAAGTAATCAGGGATTGGGCTTTTCTTTGCTGGAAGACTGTTAACTATGGCCTTGATCTTGTTGCTTGTTATTTGTCTGTTCAGGTTCTAGACATCATCCTAGTTCAGAAACCAATATTATGTCCAATTCTGTTTGTAGGAATGTATCCATTTCTTCTAGATTTTCCAATTTATTGGCATGCACTTACTCATAGTATCACTAATGATGCTTTAAATTTCTGCAGTATCAGTCATAATGTCTCATTTTTCAACTCTAATTTTATTTATGTGGGTCGTCTCTCTTTTTTCAAAGTCTGGCTAAAGGTCTGTCAATTTTTTATATATATTTTTATTATACTTTAACTTCTAGGGTACTGCCAATTTTATTTAACTTGTTTTACTTTTTTATGTTTTATTGATGTTTTGCATTGTTTTGTTCAATTTCATTTATTTCTGCTCTGATTTTTATGATTTCTTCTACTAATTGTTGGTTTATCATGCTTTTCAATTCTTCAAGATATATTGTTTGGTTGTTCATTTGAAGTTTTTCTTCTTTTTTGATTAGGAACTTATAGCTATAATCTTCCTTTGTACTGCTTTTGCTGTGTCTCATAAGTTTTGGTATATTGTGTTTACATTATCATTTGTTTCAGGAAAGTTTTCAACTTCCTTCATAATTAACTTTTTATCCTGAATTAATTTTGTATTCATAGACATACTGCCCATCATTCAGGAGCATATTGTTTAATTTCCATATATTCATATCATTTCCAAAATTCCTCTTGTTATTGATTTTTAGTTTTATTTCATTGTGGTTAGAGAAGATGCTTGATATTATTTATGGTTTTTTTTTTGTTTTTTTTTTTGGTTTTTCTGCTTTTTTTTTTTCTTTTTGAGATGGAGTTTCACTCTTGTCGCCCAGGCTAGCTTGCAGTGGCGATCTTGGCTCACTTGTAATCTCCACCTCCTGGGTTCAAGTGATTTTCCTGCCTCAGCCTCCTGAGTACCTGGGATTATAGGCACCTGCCACCACACCAGGCTAATTTTTATATTTTTAGTAGAGATGGAGTCTCACCACATTGACCAGGCTGGTCATGAACTCCTGACTTCAGGTAATGTGCCCGCCTCAGCCTCCCAAAGTGCTAGGATTACAGGTGTGAGCCACTGCACCCGGCCTATTTCTGTTTTTTTAATGTTTTAATACCTGATTTGTGAGGTAACATATGGTACATCCTTGAGAATGATCCATGTACTGAGGAAAAAAAGTGTATATTCCGCAGCTATTGGATAAAATGATCTGTAAACATCTATTTGGTCCATTTGATCTGTAGTGCAGTTTAAGTCTCATGTTTCTTTGTTGATTTTCTGGTGAGAAGATCTGTCTAATGCTGAACGTGGGGTATTGAAGTCTCCAGCTATTATTGATAGATGCAGGAGGCAGGTAAGGGAACCTGCACAGGGTCTTGCCTGGGCTTGCCCGCGGTGAACTGGGGGTCTGCATATGCTCCTGTGTGGTGGCCTGGTATTCAATCTATGAGGTGGGAGCCTGTTAGCAGAACCCCCTTCTTCTTGGCTGAGAGCTTTCTTTTTGTCTAGTAAATGTGCTCTCCACACTCTTTGATGTGTCTCTGTGCCTAATTTTTCCTGGTCATGAGACAAGAACTGGATTTTAGCTGAACTAAGGAACAAAAAAATCCTGGATCATTATTGTGTTGGCATATATCTCTTTCTTTAGCTCTAATAATATTTGCTTTATATATCTGGGTGCTCCAGTGTTAGATGGATATTATTTATAATTGTTATATCCCCTTGCTGAATTTACCCCTTTATTATCATCTTTGTCACTTCTTACAGTTTTTGTCTTGCAATCTATTCTGTATGATATAGCTACTTTTGTTCTTTTTTGGTTTCCATTGGCATGGACTGTCTTTTTTTTATCACTTTATTTTCAGTCTACAGGTGTCTCAATAGGTTATTTTTTTTTCTTAAACACAAAAAATCATTGAATTGTAATTTTTAAATCCATCCAATGTATGTCTTTTGAGTGGAGTGTTTAGTCCACTAATACACAATGTTATTATTGATAAGTAAGGACTCACTCCTACTATTTTTTATTTGTTTTCTGTTTCCTTTTTTTGTGATCGTCTCTCCTTCTTTACTTTCTTCCTGTATTCCTTTAAATGAAGGTGAGTTTCTCTGGTGATATGACTTAATTTTTTACTTAATGTGTACTTGTTGTATGTTTTTTTTGATTTGAGGTTACCATGAACTTTGAAAATACTATCTTGGAACCCATTATTTTAGGCTGATAACAACACTGTTAGCATAAACAAAGAAGCAAAAAAAACCCCTCTACATTTTAAATTTATCCCGTTACTTTACAACTTTTTGTTGATTCTGTTTATATATTATTGTAATATATGTGCCATAAAAATTATATTTATTATTTTTATTGGTTCATCCTTTAGAGTTTTTGCTTAAGATAACAGTAGTTTGCACACCACAGTTAGTGTTGTAATATTCTGTGTTTTTCTGAGTACTCACTATTATCAGTAAGTTTTTACTTTCAGATTATTTTATATTGCTCATTTTCTTTCTGATCGATGTACTCCTTTTAGTATTTATGGTAGGTAGGACAGGTCTTGTGTTTATGAAATTCCTCCACTTTTGTATGTCTGAGAAAGTGTTTATTTTTCTTTTATGTTTGAAGGATATTTTCACCAGATATACTATTCCAGGGTAATTTTGTTGTCTTTCAGGACTTTAAATATGTCATGCCACTAATTCTGGCCTGTAAGATTTCCATTGAAAAGTCTGCTGCCATATATGTTGCAACTCCATTATATGTTTTTTTTTTCTTTCTCTCTCTTTCTATCTCTTGCTCCTTTTAGGATCCTTTCTTCATTCTTCATCTTTGGAAGTTTATTAAATGCCTGGGGGTAATCTAATTTGGGTTAAATCTGCTTGATGTTCTATAACCTTTTTGTATTTGGATATTGATTTCTTTCTCTAGGTCTGAGATGTTCTCTGTTATTATCCCTTTAAATACACTTTCTACCCCATCACTTTCTTTAACTCAACTTTAAGGCCAATAAGTCTTAGATCTGTTTTTGGAGGTTATTTTCTAGATCTTGTAGGTGTGCTTTATTTTATTTTATTTTATTTTAGTTCTCTTTTCTTTTGTCTCCTCTGACCGTGTATTTTCAAATAGCCTGTCTCCAGGCTCACTAAGTCTTTCATCTTGAACAGTTCTTTCAGCTTGATCAATTCTACTATTAAGAGACTCTGATGTATTCTCCATTTTTCAATTACATTTTTCAGCTCTGGAATTTCTGCTTTATTCTTTTTAATAACTTGAATCTCTTTGTTGAATTTATCTAATAGAATTTTGAATTCCTTCTCTGTATGTTTAATTCCTTTCAGTTTCCTTCACACAACTATTTTGAATTATCTGTATAAAAGGTTATATGTCTCTGTTTCTCCAGAATTGGTCAATGGTTGCTTATTGATATAGTTTGGCTTTGTGTCCCCACCCAGATCTCATCTTGAATTGTACTCCCATAATTCCCACATGTTGTGGGAGGGAACCAGTGGGAATAATCAAATCATAGAAGCAGTTTACCCCATACTGTTCTTGTGGTAGTGAATTAGTTCTCACAAGATCTGATGGTTTTAGAAGCATCTGGCATTTCCCCTGCTGGTACATTCTGTCTTTGCCTGCTGCCATCCCTGTAAGATGTGACTTGCTCCTCCTTGCCTTCTGCCATGATTGTGAAGTCTCCCCAGCCATGTGGAATTGTAAGTCCAATAACCCTCATTCTTTTGTAAGTTGCCCATTCTTGGGTATGTCATTATCAGCTGCATGAAAATGATCTAATACAGTAAATTGGTATCAGAAGAGTGGGGTGTTGCTGAAAAGATACCCGAAAATGTTGAAGCAACTTTGCAAGTGGGTAACAGGGAGAGGTTGGAACAGTTTGGAGGGCTCAGAAGAAGACAGAAAAATGTGGGAAAGTTTGGAACTCCCTAGAGACTTGTTGAATGGCTTTGGCCAAAATGCTGATAATGATATAGCCAATGAAAGCTGGGCTGAGGTGGTCTCAGATGGAGATGAGGAACTTGTTGGGAACTGGAGCAAAGGTGACTCTTGTTATGCTTTAGCAAAGAGACTGGTGACATTTTGCCCCTGTCCTAGAGATTTGTGGAACTTTGAACTTGACAGAGATGATTTAGGGTATGTGGCAGAAGAAATTTCTAAGCAGCAAAGTATTCAAGAGGTGACTTGGGTGCTGTTAAAGACGTTCAGTTTTATAAGGGAAGCAGAGCATAAAAGTTTGGAAAATTTGCAGCCTGACAATGTGATAGAAAAGAAAAACACATTTTCTGAGCAGAAATTCAAGCTGGCTGCAAAAATTTGCATAAGTAAGGAGTAGCCTAAAGCTAATCCCCAAAACAATGGGAAAAATGTCTCCAGGGTATATCAAAGGTCTTCATTGTAGTCCCTCCCATCACAGGCCTGGAGGTATAGGAAGAAAATGTGGTTTTGTGTGCTGAGCCCGTGGTTCCCATGCTATGTGCAGCCTAGGGACTTGGTGCTTTGTGTACTAGCCATTCCAGCCATGGCTGAAAGGGACCAACATAGAGCTCAGGCTGTGGCTTCAGAGGGTGCAGGCCCCAAGCCTTGTCAGCTTCCACATGGTGTTGAGCCTGCAGGTGCACAGAAATTAAGAATTGAGGTTTGGGAACCTCCACCTAGATTTCAGAGGATGCATGGAAATGCCTAGATATCCAGGCAGAAGTTTGCTGCAAGGGCAGGGCTCTCATGGAGAACCTCTGCTAGGACAGTGTGGAAGGGAAATGTGGGGTCAGAGCCCCCACACAGAGTCCCTACAGGGGCACCACTTAATGGAGCTGTGAGAAGAGGGACACCATCCTCCAGACCCTAGAATGGTAGATCTACTGACAGCTTGCACTGTTCACCTGGAAAAGCCACAGACACAATGCCAGCCCATGAAAGCAGCCAGATGGGGAGCTATACTGTGCAAAGCCACAGAGGTGGAGCTGCCCAAGACTTTGTGAACTTACCTCTTGCATCAGCATGACCTCAATATGAGACATGGAGTCAAAGGAGATCATTTTGTAGCTTTAAGATTTGAGTGCCTTGCTAGATTTCAGACTTGCATAGGACTTGTAGCCCAAAGGCCAATTCCTTTCATTTGGAATGGCTATATTTACCCAATGCCTGTATTCCCATTGTATCCAAGAACTAACTAATATGCTTTTGATTTTACAGGCTCATAGGCAGAAGGGACTTGCCTTGTCTTAGATGAGACTTTGGACTGTGGGCTTTTGAGTTAATGCTGAAATGAGTTAAGACGCTGGGGGACTGATGGGAAGGCATGATTGGTTTTGAAATGTGAGGACATGAGATTTGGGAGGGGTCAGGGGCAGAATGATATTGTTTGGCTCTGTGTACCCACCCAGATCTCATATTGAATTGTACTCCCATAATTCCCACATGTTGTGGGAGGGAACCAGTGGGAGATAATTGAATCATGGAGGCAGTTCTCCCATACTGTTCCCCTGATAGTGAGTGAGTGTTCATGAGATCTGATGGTTTTGTAAGCATCTGGCATTTCTCCTGCTGATACATTCTCTCTTTTCTTGCTGCCATCCACGTAAGATGTGACTTGCTCTTCCTTGCTTTTGGCCATGATTGTGAAGCCTCCCCAGCCATGTGGAACTGTAAGTCCAATAACCCTCATTCTTTTGTAAATTGCCCAGTCTCAGGTATGTCTTTATCAGCAGCATGAAAGCAGACTACTACACTTGTGTAGTCATTTTGTGAGGTCATTTTCCTGGGTTATCTTGACACTTGTAATTTTTTGTCTGTGTCTGGGCATTGAAAAGTTAGGTATTTATTGTAGTCTTTGTAGTATGAGCTTATTTGTACCCTTCGTTTTTGGGAAGGCTTTTCAGATATTTGAAAGCCCTTGAGTGTTGCAATCTAAGTTGATCTGCATTAGGGGACACCCCAAGCCCAGTGGCACTGTGGTTCATGTAGATTAGAGGTACCACCTTGATGGTCTTAGACAAGATCTAGGAGAATTCTCTGGATTACCTGGCAGAGACTCTTGTTCTGTTCCGTTACTTTCTCCAGAACAAATGTAGTCTGTCTCTCTCTCTCTCTCCGTTCTGAGCCATTTGGATATAAAGGTGGAGTGACACAAGCACCTCTGTGGCCACCACCACTAGGACTGTGCTAGGTCAGACCTGACCCAGCACAGCACTGGGTCTCATTCAAGGCCTGCCATAACCACTTCCTGGCTACCTCCTATATTGTCTCAAGGCCCTGGGGTTCTACAGTTAGCAATTGGTGAAGCCAGCCAGGCTTGTTTCCTTCTCTTCAGGGAAGCAAGTTCTCCTAGGCCTTGGGCAGTTTCAGAGGTAATGTCCAGGAGCCAGGAACTAGAGTCAGAAACCTTGGAAGTCTACCTTGTGTTCTATTGTACTGCAGTTGAGATGACACTAAAACCACAAAATGCAGTTGTTCCCACTCTTCCCTCTTTTCCAAAGGCAGAGGAGCCTCGCCCTGTGGCCACCACCACCACAAGCCCACAGGGAATTCTACTAGGCTATCTCTGATGTTCCCTTAAGGTCAATGGCTCTTCAGTCAGCTTGTGAATGGTGCCTGAGCTAGGACTCACTCATCAGGGCAGTGGGCTCCCTTTGTGCCCAGGACAGTTCCAGAAATGCTTTCCAGGAGCCAAGTCCTGGAATCAGGGACCCCAAGAGTCTGCTTTGTGTTCTACCCCTGCTTTGGCTGAGCTAGTACCTAAGGTACATATGACAAAGTCTCCTTTATTTTCTCTTGCTTTTATCAAGCAGGAGTCTCTTCTTATAGCTACCATAGCTGGGAATGTGCTGAGTCTCATCTGAAGCCAGCAAGTTTCAGAGTCTCACCCAAGGCTCATGACGTACTACCTGGGTATCACCACTGATTATTCACTGAAGAGCCCACCCAAGGGCTCTTCAGTTAGCCAGTGATAAATTCTGCCAGTACTAGGTCCTTCTGTTCGGGACAGCAGGTTCTCTTCTGGTCCAAAGTGTATTTAGAAATGTCATCTGGGAGCTAGGGCCTGGAAAGGGAACTTCATGACTCCAACTGGTGTCTTATTTCTGCTGTGGTTGAGTTGATTTCTGAGATGCAGGACAAAGTGCTCCCCATTCTTCCCTTTCCTCTCCTCAAGTGGAAGGATGGGGTCTCTTTTGAAGCTTTGAGCTGTGCAGCCTGGAGTTAGGGGAGTTGTGGTGCCAGCACTCTCCTAGCTTCCCCAGTTGGTGTCTCAGTAGGTCACATGCCCCTGAAGTCCCCTGGCTCTGAGCTCAGTTCAGCACTAAAAGTTGCATAGCTGTTGCAGTCCTTGTGGTCTACACTACCTTTCAAGTTTATTTAGAGCTCCAGAGCACTTTAGCCCATGGTGGCAAGGCTTGCAGGAATTCACGTTCTTACTGCTGGGATGGGTGATTCCCCTCTGGCTAGGGCTGGTTTAAATACTCCCTTCATGAGCAGGCATGAACTGAGTTCGTCCTAGTTTAACTTTCTGCCATAACAGGGCAGCACTGAGTTCAATGTAATGTCTCACAATTATTGTGCCCTCCCTCTCCCAGGAGTTCAGATTCTGTCTCTGCACCTCACCACCACTTCCAGGGGATGGGGTAAGGGTAGCTTAGCATTTGATGACTGTTTTTTCTACCTCTTCAAGTGCCTCTTTCAGCAATGGGAAATTAAAACCAAGTACTGTGAGTGCTCACCTGATTTTTGGTTGTATTAAGGTGCCTGTTTTGTGTAGATAGTTTTTAAATTGGTGTCCTTTTGGTGGGGTGGGTGGGGTAGAGATTGGAAGAGCCTTCTGTTCTTCCATCTTTCTCTACCTCCTCCTATATTTGTATTCTTCACCAAGAATTGCCAAATTCAAACTTTGGACAACATATCAACAGCTTATATTTAAATAGTACCTGGTTTGAAAAATTCAAGGTTTCTTGTAGCCAGTATTTATTTTACTTAGTCTCCCAAATACCCTCTGAGTTGTTTACAAAAAAACACAAAAACAATAATATTATTCTAAAATATATATAAGGAGACTAAGAATGAGAGAAAATGAATCAACTTATGAGACTGTATGTTGGGAAACTTATAAAACTGTGAGTGCAGCCTGCCTACCCTTCCATGGTTGATATAAGAGTGTGTCTTATGCCTGAAACATTTTCTTACATGCAGATAACTAGTGCTCACAGATTGTGCCAGGCATATAACTTTGGACATATCTTCCCTTTTCTGGGTTTCTTTTGTCCATTCTTGTTCTGCTTAAGCATGTGTATAATATAGCACCTAACCAATCACACTGCTATCTATAATCCAAGTGAGGAGGGAAATGGATCATTTATCTTCAGCATAAAGAGGGTAAGTATGGACCATCTCCCTGCATGAGCTAGATACAGGCTGAGACCTGCTGGCCATGGGGAACCTATACTTACTACAGAAGCTGATCTTTCTCTGTGTCTTCTCTAAGTAAAGTCTTGTTCCATCCAGTGCCTGTGTGATGGGCGAGTGTGATATGTTGTCCATGTTTCTCTTAGTAACTGTGACACCTTCAAACGATGCAATGAATTGACACCCTAGGACTGTTCCTGTTGGTAGGCATTGTTGTGCTCTTTGTTATTCTCTCCACAGTGGGACTCTTCCCCCGGGGATGGTAAGAGGGATCACTTGCTGAACACTGTGTGAATGACTGTGTGAGTGACAGTGGTCATGGTTGCTGACCTTCATGCTGCCATTATTAACTTGGGTGTGACCAGTAATCTTTCCATGGCCTTTTCCTCTGATGTACCTTGTAATCTACATATTGCTACTTATTGCTGGAGAGAAATGGCAGTTTTGATGTTGTTATTGGCATAGTTAATGTGTTGGACTGTCTTTTCAAAGTACCATTCAATTTGATTTTTCTTCTTAGGTGTGTTGTCAATATGCTATGTATGTAAATGAGTTTTAGCATTCTTACAGTTTCCCTGCTTCTCTTTCATTAAAGTGTTTTTGATAACTAGTTTCTATTTTTTAAGCCAATAATTTCTTTTTTCATATTTTACAGTTTCTAGAAAATAATTTCCTATATATTTTTATATTTTTCTGAATGTAACTATTGTTTCCAGTTTGAGAAATAGTGCCTGAGTTCTGACTCCTCCATTTTTTAATTTGTCAGTAGGCTTATGAAATTTTCATTCAGAGTTGCATTTTATATTTTTGTAGGCATGTGGCCTAAAGATCTTATACTTGTTACTGTATCATTTGAAACTACTGCAATTTAAGAAATTCTGTGTTATACCCTTGAAATACATTAAAGGGAAAAATTGGAAATGACATAAAATTGATTTTAGAGAAAATAAAGGATGCATTTACTTTCCCTTTATAAGTATCTTATATTCTAAATCAGTGTTATTCAACAGAATTTTCTGTGATAGAAATATTCTATGACTATGCTCACCACTATGGTTAGACACATGTGGCTACTGAACATTTGAAATGTGGGTACTGCTAGTCAGGAATTAAATTTTAATTTTACCCAATTCTAATTAACAATTTAACATCTAAATAAGCACATGTGGGTAGTGTTTATCATAATTACAAGGCAGGTCTAGGTCTTACCATTAATATGTGTTTTATACAGTTTTCCAATATTACTGACTTGGAAAATGGTTCATCCGAAGTTAAAAGACCTATAGAAAACTAAAAAAAATAAATAAATATCGTCATGGAAGCAACATGGAATTTGTAGTCATACAGAACTAAATTTACATTGAAGAAAGCCTTTTAATCTCCTCTAGGTTCTATGAAAAGAGTATTAGTGCCTATTCTTCTTATAAATGTGTGTTGTGTAGAGTTAAATCAAATGTGCATGTAAACTTCAGCAAAAGTAAGGGACTCAGTCAAAATTAGTTGCTATAAATCTATCCTAATTTGAGTATCCATAGCTTTTATCACAGAGCATTTTCAACTGATCAATTTGGAAACCCTCCTCAAACATGCATATGGATACTTGCATGCTTTTCTTGCAAGCACACATTAACGGTTACATGTAGCATGGTGACATATAATATGGTAATATGTAAATGGTAATATTTAGTAGTGTGCTGAGTATTTCACCTAATATTTATTTTGTAAATACAAATGCATGTTTATATTATGACTTATGATTTATTTCACTATTTGCCTCTTGATTAGAGATCTGTTTGTGGTGAGACACATATATATATACCCCCACCTCTTCCCCTTCCTCCTTGGCCTGCTCAGCATGAAGAGGATGAGCATAAATATCTTTATAATGATCTACTTCCACTTAATGAATAGTAAATATATTTTCTCTCTCTTATGAATTTTTAAATGACATTTTTTCATTCATTTATTTTAAGAATATATTATATAATACATATAACATACAAAATATGTATAATCAAGTATGTTACTGGTAAGACTTCTAGTCAACAGTAGACTGTTAGTAGTTAAGTTTTTGAGAAGTCAAAGTTATAGGTAGATTTGCAACTACACTGGGATCAGCACCCCTAACCCTCACATTGTTCAAGGGTCTCTTCCTCCGTGTCTCTGTTTCTATATCTATCTATCTATCTATTATCTATCTATAGAGAGAGTTGACATTGTATATGCGTGTGTGTTTGTATACGTAGACAAATAGATATGCTTTGGTTTTAACTATATATATATATATATATATATATATATAGTTAAACATATATATATATATATAGTTAAACATATATATATATATATATATATATATATATATATATATATGGCTTTGACTTTAGCAACAAATACTTGAATTACTAAAATAAGGGAACTGTCTGTTCCCCTTGTGCATTGGTTTCCTTATTAGAGTCCTGTCAGGAAAACTGAAGCCACACTAGAGAAAACTGGTTGTATGTATTGGAAATGCTGAGAGAGGAAAGGATGGAGTCACTTAACTAAGCTGTCAGTATGTGTAGTAAGCAGCAGCCACCGGCCCCTACTGCACAGGTGGGTGAATTAAAGTGAGGAGGAACAGGAGCTTTCAGAGACTTAGGAGGGGCCACCTGGGTAGTACTGGAACTACAAGGGTGGAGCTTCTACTTTTCTGGAATCAGAAAAGTTGAGTCCTGTGATTAAAGTTAAAATTTCTTAATAAATGTGCACATCTAGTAATCCTGACAGATGCAAAAAGAGAAGAAGACAGTGGCTTCTGTCATCCTCATGCCTTCTGATCTCCTATCAGTGCCTTCTATTGGCAGAAACTAACAAGAAGCTAGCTGTCACAGGGCCTGGGAAATGTAATCTGCATACTCTTAGCCACAGCATTAAAGAGCAAATAATTTGGACATGGGGCTGAAAAATGAAGGGTTTATTACAGGTATATTTTTTGTCAAAGTGATGAAAGCTCACAAAAATTATATAATGGCTAGCTTGCTTGGTGATTTCCAAGCTCCTTAGATTTTTGTTTTGGTGTCTGGCTATACTTTTAGAACATTCTTCTTCATTTTTTCAAATATATCTTCTGTCAATTTCTCTCTTCTTATAGCTAATATTTCAATTAAGAACATATTAAACTATTTGATATTGTACTATGGCTCTTGCGTGCTCTTTAACTTTATTTTCTCTGTGTTTATGTTTGGTTAGTTTCTGTTTACATGTTTATAAGTTGATCTACTCTTACTTCATCTGAACTGAGTCCATTGAGGAGCCTATTGAAGGCATTCTTTATCTCCATTACTGTGTTTTTCTTCTTTTTCATTTCCATTTTATTCTTTCTTATAGTTTTAATAACTTCTAAAACTTCTTATTACTCTTGTTTTTAGAGCCTTTAAACTATTAGTTATATTAGTTTCAATTCCATGTCAAATAGTCTCAACATCTATGAAATTTCTTGGTCTTGTTTAGTTGATTATTTTGTCTCTTGTAGTATTTTTTTCTTGTTTTTTGATATGCTTTATAATCTTTATTATTATTATTTGAGATGTAGTCTCACTCTGTCACCCAGGCTGGAGTGCAGTGCAGAGATCTCTGCTCACTGCAAGCTCCGCCTCCCAGGTTCACACCATTCTCCTGCCTCAGCCTCCCGAGTAGCTGGGACTACAGGCGCCCACCACCATGCCCAGCTAATTTTTTTCGTATTTTTAGTAGAGATGGGGTTTCACCGTGTTGGCCAGGATGGTCTCGATCTCCTGACCTTGTGATCTGCCCACCTCTGCCTCCCAAAGTGCTGGGATAACAGGCGTGAGCCACAGCGCCAGGCCATAATTTTTATTTTAAAAATCTAGACCTGTTAAGTGACTGTGGTAAATTAATTTTATGCCTGAGAATAGGCATGACTTTCTTTCTGTTTTACCTTTAGTATGGGGGCTTGATATAATGTGTTTAGGAGTCAAGCTGAGTTTGAGACTTGATTTTGCTGTAGTTATCCTCAAGGCACTGCAAACTTTAAGTAACTTCAATGATACCTCATGTTTAGTGTGGGAGCTCTTTTGCCAGAGGCTTTTTCTCAATGTCTACTCTGACCTAATATATGTCTTCCCTTTACACTGTGTCTCGGCACAGTGCTCCTTTCTGAAACTTTCCTAGTATTTCATTTCATTCATTCACTAATAATTAGTAAGTGCATGTTTTACATATGATTGGGCAAGAATCTCTAAACTTTATTTTTCAACCTGGGGTGTTAACATTTTTATTCTACAAACATTTAGGACTATTTTGCCTAGTTACCCAAACTAGAAAAACACTTTTGTGAATTTAATTTCAGTTGAATTTTCTTTACAGATTAATTGAATGTAAACAAAATATGAAATAGTAAATAATCTGATCTAGAAAAAGAAGGTATTTTCTATTTTTTAAATTATTCTTTCATCCCCTGAGGTGGCATTTTATACTAACACATGAATAGATTTATTGTTGAAAAAATGCATTCCCTGACTTGCTGAAGCATTCCTTCTGCAAAAGATCCTTTGAAAAGGACATCCTCTGAATAAAGAGGAATAAAAGTAATTAAAACCTCACTTATTTTGCCAATATGACAGGCCCAAAACAATTTGAATGAAGCCAAATCAATAAATCAAATGAATGGTGATTTAAAATATCAACTGCTACTGTTAGAAGAAAATTAATTTCTGCTTTTTTCCCCCACATGAGGGGGAAAAAGACTTGAGCAGACAAGAGATCAGTTCAAAAAATAGCCAAAATGTGTGAAGTCTGCAAGAGTATAACATTTATATGTTCTTATAATATTTTAACATAGACATACTAAAATATTGACTACTGAAATTAATACATATTTTAACGTTTAGAATTGTTTTCTAGTTTTTATTTGATTCTAATATATTATTTAAATTTTATTTTAATTTTTATTTAGAAATTTTATTCATGCTTTCAGCTCTAATCATTACCTCTTCCAAATCATTTCTTAACCTTTTGGAATATACATATCTATATATAGACAGAGAAAAAGAGATAAATTAATATATTTAAATCTATATTTATACCTACCTCAACATTAAAGTCTGAATCTCTCATTTTCCCTGTATGTGGAGTTCCAGAAATCTGTAGGTTAAAGCTTAGATATTTCTTCTGGCATCCAACAGTGCATTTTGAACTACCGACCTGATAGTTTGTGATGTAAGATATCCTGGATATCTCAATTTAAAATGTCCTAAACTTCTTTTTTTTCCCCCTGTGGACTCAAGACAAACATTTCTCCTGATTCCGTATTTATACTAATATTAGCACCAACCTCAAATCTTGGAGTTATATTCAATTCACTCTCCAGCAACCAAAGGCTTTAACCTTTTTTTTTTTTTCTGCAAATAGCAAGACTTTGGCTAAATTTTTCTATTTCCTGAATAAATCTTTACTGAATCTCTGTGTTGATTTCTGACACAAAGATGCAGTTTCTGTTATATATTGTTTATTCATTCAACTGGTATTATTAAACATCTACTTTATGAGAGGCATTGAAAAACTACAAAGGAACAGGATTGATATGCACCCTGAGCTCAGAGATTATAGAGTCTATATAAGAACACCAATATTAAATAGTTGTATTGTAATTTGTTGACACATGAGTTCTTAACATAACTCCACTTGCTCTGCAAAAGAAGCTAAAATTTCTCCTCCTTCCAAGGAAATTGTGTTAGCCCTTCTTCAGACTCCATAGCCTGGTCATTTATACTGTATTTATAATACCAATCTTTTATCTAATTTTAAATTACTTAATAATGTTTACCTCATCATATGCTCATCAAGTATATTCAACTCCAAATTTCACAGTATCTGGAACTCATAGAAAACCAATAAATGCAGTGAATGTTGAGTACAGATTGAGCATTCCTAACAGAAAATTTGAAATCTGAAATGCTCCAAAATTTAAAACTTTTTGAGCACCAACATGATGCCACAAGGTGAAAATTCGACACCTGCCCTCATGTGACAGGTTACAGTCAAAACACAGGCACAACACGCAGTATATTCAGCATCCCCATAGTAAAAAGACCACTTCTGCCCTCTTCAGCTACAACATATATTTTCCACACGTGCCCAGATTTCCCCACACAAGAATGGCCACAAAATGGCACATGAAATGAAATGGCATGGGTGCAGGCTGGATGTGCCAATGGCATGTTCCCACGAAGTTTTCAAAGCCAAGATCTTTGTGCATGAATCACTACATTTTGTTGTTGTTGTTTACTTATTCTCTGCTCCATGTTATAAAGATATTGCTGAGAATGTCAAAAAAAGTTCTGCATATACACTATGGGCAACAGTGATACGAAAGAGGAAATATTTATTTTTATGTATAGCACAGAAAGTTAACCTGTTAGAGAAACTGGACACTGTAAAATGTCTTACAGAAGACATTTCTGTAATGTAATATAAGACAGCGTGAAATGTCTTACAGAAATGTGAAATGTCTTACAGAAGAATATGGTATTGTAGTGACCACTATGTATGATGTGAAGAAACAGAAAGATAAACTGTTGAAGTTATATTCTGAAAGTAATGAGCAGACATTAATTAAAAATTAAAAAGCAGTGCATAAAGCTAAAAATGAAGGTCTCCATTGTGTAATGAAAGAGTGTGTCCTTTCACAGTGAATACACGGCACTTATGCTATGCTGATCGTGAAACAAGAAAAGATCTATTATGGTGAACTGAAAATTGAAGAGAGCTGTAAATATTTAACAGGCTGGTGGCAGAAATTCAAGAAAAGAGCATTCTTTTCTAAGATTTGTTGTAATAAAACAACTACTGATCAAGAAGCAGCAGAGAAATTCATTAATGAGTTTGCCACGGTCATTGCTCATGAAAATCTGATGCCAGAACAAGTCTATAATGTTGATGAATCATCACTATTTTGGCCTTTTTGCCCTAGAAAGACACTGACTACAGCCATGAGACAGCTCCTGTAGGAATTAAGGAGGTCAAGGACAAAATAACTGTACTTGGATGTGCTAATGGGGCAGGCACACTAAGTCAACTTGCTGTGATAAGCAATAGCTTGTGTCTTCACTGTTTTCACTTGGTGAATTTCTTCCCAGTCCATTGCTGTGCTAAGAAAAAGGCATGAATCACCAGAACATCGTTTCTGATTAGTTTCACAAATATCTTGTAGTAGCACCCTGTGCTGCACTGCAGGGAAGCTGGACTGGATGATGACTGCATAATTTTCTTATTCCTTGACAACTGTTCTGCTCATCTTCCAGCCAAAATTCTCATCAAAAAGAATGTTTATGCCATGCACTTTTGCCTAAAATGTGATTTTATTAATTTAGCCATGTGACCATGATATCATTGGATCAATGAAGAGTAAACATAAAAGCACTTTCTTGAACAGCATACCAGCAGCAATGAACAGAGATGGGGGCATGGGAAGTATTCAAAAGAGGTTTAGCATGAAGAATGCCATATATGCTGTTGTCAATGCCTGGAACACACTTACTAAAATGACAGTTGTGTATACCTGGCACAACTTCTTGCCAGTGACTGTGTTCAGTGATGATAATTAATGAGGGGATGGCTTTAAAGGATTCTATATGTCGAGTGATGAAAAAAATGGATTTCCTTTAATAGGCAAAAAATATACCTTCAGAGTCTGTCAGTAAGCTGGAATAAGTGAATATTGAAGCTTTATCATTGATAATGATGCTCCAGAGTTGTTCATGCATTGACTGATGGTGAAATATCAAATGGTTGTGAATCGAGGTGGTTGTCATAATAGTGAGATCACGATGCTAGCACTGCAGAAAAAGTGCCTAGAGATGACGTGGTAAAAATGTGTGAAGGGCTTATTGAAGAACTAGAGCATGGTGCATTCGTAACAGAACAAGAAATCCTGTCAGCTTATAAAATCAAAGAGAATTTCTAAAACAAAATCCATTGTTAATAAGGCAGATGAGTCTGGAGGAAACATTTTAAAGAGCTATCCAGCAGAATGCCTCCTTATCCCTAGATGATTTACTTCCAGATTCCTCAACTGCTTCTAACATTTTCCTCACCAAACAAAATAAAATACCATATACAATAAACTTTTAATCAAAGCACAGCATCGTAGGTGGAGATTGAAAGCTTGCCATTGTTCGTGGATGCTGTGGTTCAACATCTGATACAGGTGTTCTGGGGATGCTACTGTGCTGCTTAGCTAACCTGATCATTTTACTTTTTTACTACATTAATGGTATGTCATATTTTTTACTGTTAAGCACTTATGTGTAAATAACTGTAAGAAAATGATTGCTTATTGGCAACATATAAATTCAAAGTCAGGAAAGACGGTGGTGTCAAACAACCACAGATTGTCCATAAGGTTTGCTGTGATAGTGCCACCTTTGGTTTCTGATGGCTTACTGTATACAAACTTTGTTTCATGCACAAATTATGAAAACTTTGTATTAAATTACCTTTAGGCTATGTTTTTAACATATATATGAAAAGTAAATAAATTTTATGTATAGACTTGTGTCTATCCTCAAGATATTTCATTAGGTACATGCAAGTATTCCAAAATCTGAAAAAATTGAAATTTGAATCACATCTGGTTTCAAACATTTTGAGTAAGGGATACTTAACTTGTATACAACACCAAGTGTATATGTTTTATCAAACAGACTATTTTCAAATTCCTTTCTGCTCTGTTTTTCTTGTTTTTATTCTTCATTGCCAAGAAATTACACAGTTATCAGCTGCCTTATTATTATTCACAAACGTAGTGTTACACATGTTGGATTATCTTATTTTATTTTATTTTTTATTTATTTATTTTTATTATTATACTTTAAGTTTTAGGGTACATGTGCACAATATGCAGTTTAGTTACATATGTATACATGTGCCATGCTGGTGCGCTGCACCCACTAACTTGTCATCTAGCATTAGGTATATCTCCCAATGCTATCCCTCCCCCCTTCCCCCACCCCACAACAGTCCCCAGAGTGTGATGTTCCCCTTCCTGTGTCCATATGTTATCATTGTTCAATTCTCACCTATGAGTGAGAATATGAGGTGTTTGGTTTTTTGTTCTTGTGATAGTTTACTGAGAATGATGATTTCCAATTTCATCCATGTCCCTACAAAGGACATGAACTCATCATTTTTTATGGCTGCATACTATTCCATGGTGTATATGTGCCACATTTTCTTAATCCAGTCTATCATTGTTGGACATTTGGGTTGGTTCCAAGTCTTTGCTATTGTGAATAGTGCCGCAATAAACATACGTGTGCGTGTCTCTTTGTAGCAGCATGATTTATAGTCCTTTGGGTATATACCCAATAATGGGATGGCTGGGTCAAATGGTATTTCTAGTTCTAGATGCCTGAGGAATCACCACACTGACTTCCACAATGGTTGAACTAGTTTACAGTCCCACCAACAGTGTATAAGTGTTCCTATTTCTCCACATCCTCTCCAGCACCTGTTGTTTCCTGACTTTTTAATGATTGCCATTCTAACTGGTGTGAGATGATATCTCATTGTGGTTTTGATTTGCATTTCTTTGATGGCCAGTGATGGTGAGCATTTTTTCATGTTTTTTGGCTGTATAAATGTCTTCTTTTGAAAAGTGTCTGTTCATGTCCTTCGCCCAATTTTTGATGGGGTGGTTTGTTTTTTTCTTGTAAATTTGTTTGAGTTCATTGTAGATTCTGGATATTAGCCCTTTGCCACATGATTATCTCAATAGATGCAGAAAAGACCTTTGACAAAATTCAACAACCTTCATGCTAAAAACTCTCAATAAATTAGGTATTGATGGGACGTATCTCAAAATAATAAGAGCTATCTATGACAAACCCACAGCCAATATCATACTGAATGGGCAAAAACTGGAAGCATTCCTTTCGAAAACTGGCACAAGACAGGGATGCCCTCTGTCACCACTCCTATTCAACATAGTGTTGGAAGTTCTGGCCAGGGCAATTAGGCAGGAGAAGGAAATAAAGGGTATTCAATTAGGAAAAGAGGAAGTCAAATTGTCCCTGTTTGCAGACGACATGATTGTATATCTAGAAAACCCCATTGTCTCAGCCCAAAATCTCCTTAAGCTGATAAGCAACTTCAGCAAAATCTCAGCATGCAAAATCAATGTACAAAAATTACAAGCATTCTTATACACCAATAACAGACAAACAGAGAGCCAAATCATGAGTGAACTCCCATTCACAATTGCTTCAAAGAGAATAAAATACCTAGGAATCCAACTTACAAGGGACGTGAAGGACCTCTTCAAGGAGAACTACAAACCACTGCTCAATGAAATAAAAGAGGATACAAACAAATGCAAGAACATCCCATCCTCATGGGTAGGAAGAATCAATATCATGAAAATGGCCATACTGCCCAAGGTAATTTATAGATTCAATGCCATCCCCATCAAGCTACCAATGACTTTCTTCACAGAATTGGAAAAAACTGCTTAAAAGTTCATATGGAACCAAAAAAGAGCTCGCATCACCAAGTCAATCCTAAGCCAAAAGAACAAAGCTGGAGGCATCACACTACCTGACTTCAAACTATACTACAAGGCTACAGTAACCAAAACAGCATGGTACTGGTACCAAAACAGAGATATAGATCAATAGAACAGAACAGAGCCCTCATAAATAACGCTGCATATCTACAACTATCTGATCTTTGACAAACCTGAGAAAAATAAGCAATGGGGAAAGGATTCCCTATTTAATAAATGGTGCTGGGAAAACTGGCTAGCCATATGTAGAAAGCTGAAACTGGATCCCTTCCTTACACCTTATACAAAAATCAATTCAAGATGGATTAAAGACTTAAACGTTAGACCTAAAACCATAAAAACCCTAGAAGAAAACCTAGGCATTACCATTCAGGGCATAGGCATTGGCAAGGACTTCATGTCTAAAACACCAAAAGCAATGGCAACAAAAGCCAAAATTGACAAATGGGATCTAATTAAACTAAAGAGCTTCTGCACAGCAAAAGAAACTACCATCAGAGTGAACAGGCAACCCACAAAATGGGAGAAAATTTTCGCATGTTGTATTATTTTATTACATGATATGAAAATAACAATAAAATGAAACATAATGCATGATAAACAAATGAGTCCAGGAATTACTCTGAAGTAATTCTTCCTATCATCTTATGAACGCATGTAGTAGGTGCGCATATAGAATAAACAAAACCTGCCTAATGCATTCTGATCTTTTCCTTTGTTTATATTTTGTTTTGATTTAAAAACATGTGAAAAACAAATTATAAAATTAAAACAAATCACAGAGCACATGTTATGTCAATATATTTTTTATGAAAAGAATGGAATGTTACTGGTTGATCATTTTCTTATTAATCACACCAGGGGGCAAATGTAATCTATTCTTTCAATCCAAATCTTTGCTAAAAAATGACAATACTTTACCACTGAAAATAACCTAAGAATGTGCCACAGACTAAGTGAGGCTCCAGAAGTATAATTTTCTTTTGGCCACTTGATTTTAATAGTTTGCTTTTTGAAATTTCCATATCCAAGCTACAAAAGGGTTAATTTTTATTATCAGACTGCTGGAGAAGGTTTTTAAGGCTATTATTCTTAAAAGAAAGGGTGTATCATTGTAACAGATGAAGACATTTAGAAACCAGTTTAGTTTTAATGGTAGTCCTATTTATTTTGATGCAAAAACAATGATTCTTAGTGAAGAAAGTGGCATCTTTGGGAAGATGGCATTTTTATAGAATCAAGGTTAGACTGGCAAGGCAGTTGCTTAGTGAGATGGAACTAGTAATTCTGTTTTATTGTTGACTAATTGCTATTGTTTTGCTTTTCCAAATTCATTTAAATGAAAAGTTAAATAGCACTTAATTTGACCTTGTTTTCACAAAGCTTTTTTTTCATTTTTTGGATTTATTATTGATTAACATGTGATAATTGTACCTATTTATGGCGTAGAGTGTGATATTTTGATACATGTATACAATGTGTAATGATCAAACCAGGTTAATTAGCCTACTCATCACCTGAAACATTTATTATTTATTTGTATTGGGAACATTCAAAGTCCAAAGTCCATTCTTCTGCTATATAACATATAATAAATAATATAATTTGATATATAAATAATATAATACATATATAATATTATAATTATTAGTAATATATGATATGATACATATTTATATCAATATAAATATATTATGTATAATATATAGAATAAATAATATAATAAACAATATAATATATAATAAAATATACTATAATAAATAATATACTATATAATATATATTTTATTATATAATATATAATGCTATATATTTTATTATGTAATAAACTGAAAATATATAATAAACTATATTGTAAAGTATAGTCACTCTTTAGTGCTTTTAAACAATAGAGCTCATTCCTCCTATTTAGGTGTACTTTTCTACCCATTGAACAACATTTGGATATCCTCTTTCCTTTTATACTTCTCTAGCTCTAGTAATCACCATTCTACTCTCTACTTCTATGAGATCAACTTTTTTTAGCTTCCACTTATGAATGATAACATGCAATATTTATATTTCTGTGCCTGGCTTATTTCACTTAACATAATGTGCTCCAAATTCATCCATGTTGCTACTAATAACAATTTTGTTCTTTTTTTTTATGGCTAAGTGCTATTCCACTTTGCATATATACGGTTTTTTTTTTTTTTTTTGAGACAGAGTCTCACTCTGTCGCCTAGGCTGGAGTGCAGTGGTGCAATCTCGGCTCACTGCAAGCTCTACCTCCCGGGTTCAGGCCATTCTCCTGCCTCAGCCTCCCGAGTAGCTGGGACTACAGGCGCCCGCCACCACACCCGGCTAATTTTTTTGTATTTATGGTAGAGACGGGGTTTCACCGTGTTAGCCAGGATGGACTCGATCTCCTGACCTTGTAATCCACCCGCCTTGGCCTCCCAAAGTGCTGGAATTACAGGTGTGAGCCACCGCGCCCGGCTACAATTTTTAAAAAAATCTATTGTTTTGTCAATAAACAATTAAGTCTGTATCTTGACTATTGTAAATAGCCTGCACTAAACATGGGAATGCGGATATCTTTTTATTATGTTGATTTCCTTTCATTCTATTTACTCACTATTGAGATTGTACAGTAGTTCTATTTTTAGTTTTTTGAGAAACTTCTATCCTATTTTCCATAATGGCTGTACTAACTTACATTCCCACTAATAGTGTATAAGAGTCTCTCTTTCTCCACATTCTCACAAGCATTTATTTTTTATTTGATAGTAGCCATTATAACAGTAGTAACGGAATATCTCATTATGGTTTTGATTTTAATTTCCCTGATGATTAGTGATGTTGAGCATTTTAAAAATACACCTGTTAACTACTTGTATTTCTTTTGAGACATATCTATTCAGCCCATGTGTCCTTTAAAAAACTAATTTCTGGTTTTTTTATTGAATTGTTTTAGTTTATTGTATATTCTAGGTATTTATTTTGCTGTGCAGAAGCTGTTTAGTTTTATGAAATTACATTAATCTAGTTTGCTTTTGTTTTCTATGCTTTTGAGTTCTTTTCCATAAAATCTTTGCCTAGACCAATGTCTTCAAGCATTTCCCTGAGTTTTATTCTAGTAGTTAAATAGCATTAGGTCTTACAGTTAAGTCTTTAATAGATTTTGAGTTGATTTTTGTATATGGTAAGATATAGGGGTCTAATTTTATTTTTCTGCATATAAATATCTGGTTTTCCAGTATCATTTATTAAAGAGATTGTCCCTACCCCAGTAAATGTTCTTGGCACCTTTGTTGAAAAGCAGTTGGCTTTAAACTTGTGGATTTGTTTCTGGATACTCTATTCTGTTACATTGGCTTATGGGTCTGTTTTTATGCAGTGCCATGTTCTTTTAGTTACTACAGCTTTGAGTATATTTTGAACTTTTGAAATGTGATGCTTCCAGCTTGGTTCTTTTTACTTAGGTTTGCTTTGGCTATTCAGGATCTCTCCTGGTTCCATACAAATTTTAGGATTGCTTTTTCTAGTTCTGTAGAGAATATAATTGGTATTTTGTTAAGAATTGTATTAAACTTTTAGATTGCTTTTGGTAGTAGGCTCATTTTCAAAATATTCTTCCTATTTATGAACATGGGATTTTGTGTGTGTGTGTGTGTGTGTGTGTGTGTGTGTGTATTCTCTTTAAGGTCTTTAATTAGGGTTTTGTAGTTGTTCTTGCAGAGAGCATTTGCTTCTTGTGATAGTTTATTTCTAGGTATTTTATTTATTTATAGCTACTGAGATTACTTTCTTGATTTTATTTTTTTGAGATGAAGTCTCACTCTGCTGCCCAGGCTGGAGTGCAGTGGTGCTATCTTGGCTCGCTGCAACCTCTGCCTCCTGAGTTCAAGCGATTCTCCTACCCCAGCCTATAGCTGGGATTATAGGCACCCACCATCATGCCTGGCTAATTTTTATATATTTAGTAGAGTCGGGGTTTCACCATGTTGGCAAAGCTGGTCTCGAACTCCTGACCTCAGGTGATCTGCCCGCCTCAGCCTCCCAAAGTGCTGGGATTACAGGTGTGAGCCACCGTGCTCGGCCTACTTTCTTGATTTTTTAAAAGTAGTTTATTCTTGGTGTATAGAAACACTGCTTTTTTTTCCTATGTTGATTTTGTATCCTGCAACTTTACTGAATTTGCTTATCATTTCTAAGAAATTTTTGAAGAGATTTTAGGGTCTTGTATGTATAAGATTATGCCATATGCAAACAGAGACAAATTAACTTCATCCTTTTTCAATTTGGATGCTCTTTATTTTTTTCTCTTGCCTAACTGTTCTGGCTAGGACTTCTAGCACTATGTTGAATAAAAGTGGTAAAAGTAGGCATTTATGTCTTATTCCAGATCTTAGAGAAAAAGCTTTTAACTTTTCCTCATTAAATATGATGTTGGCTATGGGTTTATCATTTATGGCCTTTATTGTGTTGAGGTGTTTTTTTCTTTGCCTAACTTGTTGAGTGTATTTATCATGAAGGAATGTTGTATTTTTTTCAGATGCTTTTTCAGCATTTAGCAAGATGATATGGTTTTCGTCCTTTATTCTGTCGATTTGATATATCATGTTCATTAATTTGTCTACGTAAAACCATCCTTGTGTCTTTCTGATAAATGTTCCTTGATTATGATGAATGATCTTTTTAATGTGTTGCTGGATTTGGTTTACTAGTATTTTATTTTTATTTTTATTTTTTTTGAGATGGAGTTTCTCTCTTGCTGCCCAGGCTGGAGTACAATGGCGCAGTCTCGGCTCACTGCAACCTCCACCTCCCAGGTTCAAGTGATTCTCCCATCTCAGCCTCCCAAGTAGCTGGGATTACAGGTGTGCACCACCACCCCTGGCTAATTTTTTATCTTTTTTTAGAAGAGACAGGGTTTCACCATGTTGGTCAGGCTGGTCTTGAACTCCTGATCTCAGATAATTTGCCTGCCATTGGTTCAATTTTGGTTGTATGTGGTTTGGTTGTATGTGTCCAAAAATTTGTTCATATATAGTTGTTTGTAATAGTCTCTAATGATCCTTTGTATTTCTGTGGTGTTGGTTGTAATGTCTTTTTTTTTTTTTTTTTTGGATTCTACTTTCATTCTGGGGGGTCTTGTTTTCTTTTTTCTTGGTTAATCTAGCCAGTGGTTTCTCACTTTTTTAATATTTTCAAAAGAACAACTTTTCTTATTGAAATGTTTATTGGTTTGTTAGTCTCAATTTTGTTTATTTCTGTTCTGATCTTTATTATTCTTTTCTTCTACTAACTTTGAATTTGCTTTGTTCTTGCTTTTCTAGTTCCTTGAGATGCATCATTATATTGTTTATTTGAAATCTTTCTACTTTTCTGGTGTAGGCATTTATTCCTATGCATTTCCGTCTTAATAGCATATTTGCTGTATTCTATAAGTTATATTTACATTTTTATTTGTTCCTTCTTAATTTCTTCATTGACATATTGGTCGTTCAAGATTGTATTGTCTGTTTGTACAATTTAAAATTTTCTGTTTATTGATTTCTAGTTTTATTCCATTGTGGTCAGAAAAGATACATAATATAATTCTAAATCTTTTAAATTTGTTGAGACTTGTTTCGTTGCCTAACACGTGGCCAGTCCTAGATAATGTTCCACGTGCTAAGGAAAAGAATGTGTATTCTGTAGTTGTTGCATAAAATGTTCCTTAAATGTCTGTTTGATCCATTTCATCTAAATCATACTTTAATGTTTCTTTGTTGATTTTCTGTCCAGATGACCTAATGCTGAGAGTGGGACATTGAAATTCCCAACTATTGTAGTATTGGAGTCTATATATTCCTTCAGATCTAACAATATTTGCTTTATATATCAGTGTGCTCTGGTGTTCAGTGAATACATATTTATAATTGTTATATCTTCTTGCTGATTTATTTCTTTGTCATTGTATAATTACAGTTATTTTATTTATAGTCTGCTTATCTAAGTATAGCTACTGCTGCTCCATTTTGACTTCTGTTTGCGTGGGCTGTATTTTTCTATTTCTTATTTTTCCATTTATTTGTGTCTCTTTAGAGGAAGTAATTTTCTTGTAGGCAGCATATAATTGGATCCTTAAAAAATTACTTGAGCCAGTCAATCTTTTAAGTGGGGGCATTTAATCTATTTACATTCAAGGTTATTACTGGTAGTTGAAGACTTACTCCTGAAATTTTGTTAATAGTGTTCTGGTTGTTTTGTATTAATATATGCTTTGTTCCTTTCTTCCTCTCTTATTGTTTATCATTGTGGTTTAGTGGTGTTCTGCTGTTATAGGGTTTTGAATATTTTCTCTTTCTCCTTCATGTGTCTGTTCTACCAGTCCTTTTATACTTTTCATGTATTCATAAATGTAGCATTATAGGGTGACTGTAATTAACAACAATTTATTGTATATGTTTAAATCACTAGAAAAGCAGATTTTGAGTGTTCTCAACACAAAGAAATGTCAAGTGTTTGAGGTGATGGATAAGCTAATTACCCAGATTTGACCATTACGCATTGTACACACATATCAAAATGTCACATTCTACCCCATAAATATGTGGGATTATTATATGTCAATTAAAAATGATGAAAGCAAAAGAAAAGAGCTGAGAAATTAACCAAAGTTAGCCAATAAAATGGTTTTTGGAGTGATGTTCTTTGCTGCTCCTATAATCAGTCTGGTCAATAACCGTGAACTTGAGAGAAATACATGATGATAATAACATAGGGATAAGTAAGTGTCTTTTCTCAGAGAATTGTCCAATCTATTCTGATCACATCAATGTCATGTGGTCAAGGGCTATGTTGAAATTAACTTTGACTTGTTTAAATGATGGAATCAGACCATTTCAGTAATTAAAGTATTTCATAATGTGTTAGGGTGTTTGAGTAGATGAGCACTCCAAAAAAACACACAAACACATGCACAGACACAAGTGTAGGTAGAAGTTCCAGAAAATGTGTAATTTCAGAGTTTGTCATCATATAAAACCACTCTGCAGATCATATAATTTCAGATACATATAACAATTATTTGCATAAAGATCTTTTCCATTTAATAACACCAGGGAGGTTATTATGAATAATTATGACGGATGTAGTTTGATGAGTAAACAAAATGAGAACATTTATAGTCCAAGAGAAAATGAATGCCAATTATTTTGGGGATAGTGAGTTTTATTTTGAATATAACCTCAATAATAGAGAAACATGTTTGCAACCTGTGTGTTATTCATATATCCCCTGTATCACCTACATTTGTTCTCACACATATTTGCTCTTATTTCTTACACATATTTCCATGAGATTTAAATGATTTCCTCAATAAAACATTTACAAACTGCTTTTGAATTGGGACAATTCACATACTAAAGTTTGTTTATATTAATAAAATGGCTGTGGTTTGATTTTCTTGTTTTCACACTTTTTTCTGAAAGCTCGATTTGCTAGCATGGCTAAAAATACTAAACATATTGAATGTGTTCACCATTAATGTTCCAGTTGGGGATTTTGTGGGGTGGGTGTGTGTGTGTGTGCTGACTATTTTGTTTAGGTGAAGATACTTCAGTCCCCTAAGATCCAATGAGGTGGTTAGCTTTAAGAAATTACCTTTTAACAATACCGAATGTATGCCTTTTTTCATAGAAAAAATTGCTTTAACCATTATAATGATTTTGTACATGTATCCCACAAGAATATAGTACGATTGGAAATGGAGGATCTGACTAGAATTTGAGGAAATAACAAGAACATATCATCTTCTGGGACTGAAGCTAATAGAACCAGTATAAGAGGAATCGAAATAGCCAGTCTTAGGCACGAACTTCTTAGTTTCAATGAAAAAAGAATACTAACTATGAAGTAAATATTAAACCATGTGTATAATGTTATAACAAAAAAAGCATACAAAAGGAAGGTGGAGATACCAGAAAAAAGCATATGCCACTTTGCTTTCTACATTTTTTAATAAATAGGATGCTTTCGGTAAGTAAAATCATTTCCATTTTTTAAATAAAGGTCTTACTTTTATCAATTGCTAGGGCAGATGATGAGGGGAAGTGCAAGAAAACCCCACAGGGTATCACAGGTTAGAGCCATGATTCTGAATACAGAATGTGTCCTCAGGTTTCCCAAGGTTGTTGAGGCACACAGACCACCGGAAGTTGTTTGAAGCACAGGGCAAGAGAAAACAAATGTTAGGCTTGTTCTAGGAGAGCTGAGGGTCAAATTCTGCTTCAACATTTTTTGAGCCAGAAAATATAAGACAGAGATATCAGAGCCATAAACCTGGTAGTTGTAAGAGTGGTAGATCAGCAAGAGTGAAGGAGGATGGCTACATAACTTACAGGGCCTAGTACAAAATGAGGGTGTGCAGCCCTTTATTCATAATTATTAAGAAATTCAAGATCGGGAAAAATGGTAAACCAAGTATGGACCCTTCCAAGTGCTGAACCCTGTGCGGTTGAACACATAAATGTGGCCCAGGGAGAATGAAGCAAAGCAGAAAGATTCACATCAAGGCATCATTTCATCTTTTAAACAATGTGAAAAAAAAGACAATAAATGCTGGGAATCATATTCATATTGTTACATTTAAGTGATTTTCTCCCCCTTAAGCTTTATAAAAGTTTGTTTTCTGTGGCAAGGCAATGCACAGGCAACAATATTTTACATGACCAAGTAGAATGTTTTTAATGTTAATTATTGAGTACATGGTGCAAAATAGTGATTTTTGTGATTCATTTAACTTTGTTTAAGAAAAATTATTTTATAATTTTAGCTTGTAGACTGTTTTCATCCACAGACCAACTAGGAATGAAAGGATTTTTTATTATTCAAATTCAAGGACATTGCATGATACTTTAAAAATTACATTTGGGTTGTTTCATTAATGTAATATTCAAGACTGTCAGTGAATCAATTAAATTGAATTAATGTAAATTTTATATTATGAATGTATCAAGCTACTTGAAAGATAATGAATGTTTTCCTATTCGTAAATCAAGAGTTTATCTAAAGTTTATTTGATACTAACTTATATGTTTTGGCTCATGTGTGCCCACCCAGGATCTCATCTTGAATTGTACTCCCGTAATTACTACGTGTTGTGGAAGGGAGCCAGTGGGAGATAATTTGAATCATGGGGTCAGTGTCCCCCATGTTGTTCTTGTGGTAGTGAATAAGTCTCACGAGATCTGATGGTTTTTATCAGGAGTTTCCGCTTTTGCGTCTTCCTCATTCTCTCTTTGCCTGCTGCCATCATGTAAGACAGGACTTGCTCCTCCTTGCCTTCTGCCATGATTGTGAGGCTTCCCCAGCCACGTGGAACTGTAAGACCAATTAAACCTCTTTATTTTTTAAATTGCCCAGTCTTGGGTATATCTTTATCAGGAATGTGAAAACGGACTAATACACTAACACTGATATAGTTGTGTGTGTGTGTTTGTGTGCATATGTGTTGTCTTATCTTCATGTTTTCAAACATTTCACCAAGGGTGGCAAAAGCAAGCAATGAACCTGAGCCACCTAGAATTGCAATGTGTTCTATGTGAAGGAGAAAAAGCCAATGATCTTTGAGGAACAATAATAAAAAATAATCTAATTCTAGGGATGTTAAACCATTTCTAGCAGCTAGATATTTATGTATTTCTAAAACTAATAAAAGGTCTTTCATGGAGTTAATTAGAAAGAAATGAAGGTGGTATCTATTCTGATCACATCACAGTTGTCATTTCTCTAACAACTCACATTACTTATTAGAGGGGACAACTTGCTTCCGAATCGTTGCAGGGGCCAGAGCCTTTTCAGGATAGACTTTCTATGCCTGAGAAATGACTGTTATAAGCAATTTACCCTTATGTTTTGGGCTTTAATACAAATACACATTTTTTCTTCCTAAAAACATTTTAAAAGCTTCTGTATTTGAATGGCTAAAGCTACATTTCAACCCTGGCTATCCGTAAGAATTACATGGAGAGGTTTTAACAACCCCACTCCCAGAGATGTTGAATAAGGACGTGGCATAGTTTCTGTAGTTTTGTATTGTTTACATTCCCCAAGTAATCTCAACGTCTAGAAAAATTTTGAAAACCTCTGGTTCTGAATCAAGATGTGTATAATTTATATTGTCTAAAGATAGAAGGATATTTGTTGCTTTGATAATGACAGATCAAAGTACTCCAAATCCCTAAACCTTGGGATCCCTTTCCTTTGTGTAGTTTTGTATCTTAGGTCTGATAATTTTGAAGATGAGGATCTGAACAAGATGGATCACGCTTATCCTTCTGTGGCAAAACCCATGATGTGATGTCTTTTAAGGGCTGAGGGTAAAGCCGCAAGGTTCTGCACTTATGGAGCCTTGGTGAACATATGCTCATTAGTCTGGTGGGAAGTAGAAATGGCATCACTGAGGGGGTTCCTGAAAATGGCCAGGAGCCACTATTTGTGACAGATAATGAGGAGTCAAAACTTTACACAGTGACTGAATCTGAAGTAGCTGAATAACTCAAGCATGAGTTATGCTTGCCAAGCAGCAAACTTCTGTCTCCTGTGCATATGACTGGCCCTAGTGAGGAGGAAAGTTAGAAAACTTTCCATAATCATGGGTCCTATAATCATGAAATCCACAAAATAATAGTTTAGTTAGCAGATCCAAATCACTACAGTAAACAGCACACGCAACTGAAGACCACCAAATGGCTTTTATGATACCATGGTCATAGTGGTGAATAGCATGGAGACTAAGAGCGTAAGAGCCTGAAGCTAAATCGTGGCCCTACTGCTTGTGAGCTGTGGAACCCCAGTCAGGTTGTTTTGGCTTTCTAGGCTCAATTTCCTCACCTGTAAAATGGGAATATTAAAATTAGCTAATTTGAGTTGTTTGGAGTTTTCATTAAATTAAAATGGGAATAGTGTTTAGTATGTGGTAAGTAGTCAATATATGTCAGTGATTTTAATTATTTTGGGGTAGTGCAACTCTGATACTCCAAAAAGGACTGAGAATATTCCCAGTAGTTTAGCACTTGCTATGCTAAATAGCTTATAACTCAGAGCTAGCGGGACACACCCGCTATCAAGAGCTGTGAAGGGGGTGACTTACCACCAGGCGCACTTCCATCTGTTGCTGTTGATTAAACATGCCGTTGAAATTAAAGTTGTCACACGCTAATTATAAAGCTGGTGTTGGCTAATTCATGTGCCTTTGAAATATACTCCCAGAGTAGCAGGTAAACAGTGTCGGCAATTATAGCATCTCATTAATTCTGTAAAAAGTGATAATATTAGTTTGAATTAGGTGGTTAATAGTCCCCTTTTCCAGAAAAAGCGAAAATGATGGAGGAGTGGAAAAGCTTCCAATCTGCTACCAGATGTAAAATTTAAGTATAAGGAGAATCCTAGAATTTGAGACAAGGAGGTTTTTCTTGGCAAGCAAACCGCATGCTAACTGAGCGTAGTTTGATGACTGAAATACCATTTCTGTAACAGAGAAGCTCAGTTTGTTGTAGGTTCCAACAAAATTATTCCCCAGAGGGTCAGACAAATGGGAATATCTTTTGCACCTCACATTCGCTGTAGACAGCCTAGATTTCACTGGGCTAGTGCTGCAAGTCAGCACCACTTAAGAGAATTCCGGGACTTCACAGGTTATTCAGGCCAGCTGTTCAGCGTGTGTCGTATTGTCTGGGTTATTAATGCACTAGTTAAGACTAGGGTAGAAAAAAATTATCAACAAAAAAGGCTTCGAAGATTCTTTTCTTATTTATTGTACATTAAACATGCTTTTCATGGCTCTCTTACAACAGAGAGCATTTACAATTTTTTTAAACAACAGGCCACTTTTATTATATGTATACCTTCATGTTTATACCAGCAAATTTTAGAATCTTCAGAGTTTTCAGATGCTTTGTAATGTAATCTGTTTGGTACTGGCTATGAATCTCCTAAATTGCTTGTTCAAATACTTCCTTCATCTGCATACTGTAGTCTCTGAATTGTCCATAGCTTTAAATTCAGTATTAGTTTCCCTTTAAGATTCTTTGCCTTGCTTATTGGCACTGAAGTTTCATAAAGATTGCTGGCTCTCACCTAAGGCAACTCAGCTATTTCCTTCAGATTTTGACCTCAAGAAATTCCGGGTACACATATGACTAGTCTGACATGGCTTTCTTAACCCTGTATCTCAGTATGTGGTCCATTAGAGACATCATTCCCATCTAGGATTTTAATTGTAATGCAAGGAACAAGCAGATCAAATCAGAAAAATATTAAGTGAAAAACACATGCAAAATGTATAGCATTATATCAATAGGATTTTAGTTGACTTCTTCGTAGAAACAAACGTGCAAATTGTAGGAAACTACAGTATAAATTATGTAGTTTCTTCAACAAATATTTTGCTTGGCAGAGGTAGGATAACAATGATAGCAGAACCTGAGGATTAAAAAAATATTAAAAAGGATATTTAAAATATTAGGTGAAACTAAGTGTTAGACATTCTAAAAATCTAAATTTTGTATGGATATACTTTTATATATTATTATTTTTATTATTTTTACTCTTTTCCAGCAGTTTTAGGTTAACAGCGAAGTAAAATGGAAAGTACAAGGAGTTTCCATATAAGCTCCCCCCACCACCAGCTTTCTCCACTATCAACATCCTATACCACAGTGGTACATTTGTTACAATCAATGGACTTACATTGACTTATCTAAAATATATGTTTTTAATGTTGTTGATTAATTTGTAATAGCATGTGCATGTGTATGTGTGTGTGGTGTGCATCCATGTATAATATTTTTAATAGTGATATTTTACCGTTTGAACTGTATTCATTTGGCGAAGAAAGATGAATAAAAGAAAATAAGATAGAAATGGATTTTGATAACTTGTAAGGATATGCATATTCATAACTATATTTGAAGCAAACAAACAAAACCATTGATTTTGCAGCTTTATTTTATTTTTAATTGATATATAATAATTGTAAATATTTCTGGGGTACAACGTGATATTTTGATACATTTGTACAAACTGTAATGATCAAATCATGATGATTAGCAAATCTATCACCTCAAACATTTATCATTTCTTTGTGGTGAAAACATTTAAAAGCCTTTCTTCTGGGTATTTTGAAATATACAACACATTATTGTTAGCTGTAATCACCTTATTGTTCAATAGAACACCAGAACTTATTTTTCCTATGTAACTGTAACTTTGTACCCATTGACCAACCTTTCCCCATTCTCTCCTCCACCCTAATCTTCCTAGCCTTTGGTAACCACTAGTTTAATCTGTGATTCTACGATATCAGCTTTTTTAGAGTGAGATCGTATGCTGTATGTCTTTCTATGTCTGTATTTTTTCATTTATAATATCCTCCAGGTTCATCCTTGTTGAAAATGACAAGATTTTCTTTTTTATAGATTAATAGTGTTTCCTTGTGTGCAATATTTCATTATGTGCATATATATTTTCTTTATCTATTTATCCATTAATGAACACTTCAGTTGATTCCACATCTTGGCTATTGTGAATAAGTGCTTTGAATAAATGTGGCAACGAAGACACAGAAATGACCAACAGGTATATGACAAAATGTTCAAAATCACTCATCATTAGTGAAATACAAATCAAAACACAATAAAATATCACCTCACTCCAGTTACAAGAGCTGTTATGAAAAAGACAAAATATAACAAATATTGGTGAGAGTGTGGAGAAAAGGAAACCCTTCAACAGTGTTGGTGGAAATGTAGACTGGTACAGCTACTGTGGAAAACAGTATGGAGGTTCCACAAAAAATTAAAATAGAACTACCGTATTATCCAGCAGTCCTACAAATGGGTATACTCAGTATTCTTTGGATATATATATCCAAAGGAAATGAAGTCAGTATATTCAAGAGATACAGAATCATCCAGTTAGGTAAAGTAGTTGAGATGAAAAGTTAAAAATGGTAAATTAATATTAATTATTTAAAAATAAGAAATTTAGATTCAGAAGGTGAGATACACAGGCCAGGATCAGTGGTTCACACCTACAGTTCAAGCAGTTTAGGAGGCCACAGCAGGAGGATCACATGAGCACAGGAGTTTGAGACCAGCCTGGGCAACATAGGGAGACCCTGTATCTACAAAAAATTTTTTTTAATTAACTGGGCAAGTTGGTGCACACCTGTGGTCCCAGCTACTTGGGAGGTTGAGGTAGGAGGATCACGTGAGCCCAGGAGTTCTAGGCTGCATCAGTGAGCTATGATTGTGCACTTCAACCTGTGTGACAGTATGAGATCCTGTCTAAAAAAAAAAAAGGAAAAACAATAAAAGTGAGATACACAGATGACTTCCATAGCTGGCCAAACTGGAGTTTGGATTTTTCATTAGTTGCTTGTTACTTTTCAGTTATTTTCTATAACTCCATAAATGGATTCCCAAAGCCTGCATTGCATTTTCCTGAGTCTGCAATTATGGTGGGTGCAAACCCAGCAAGATACAATACAGGCCTTGGAAATTAATTCCTGGAAGCATCATGTGGGACTTGAAGAATCATAACAGTCCAAGTTGACAGATGAGATCTTGAGATTTCAACTGCTCATGCATATCTCTTGATCTGGTATAAAACTCTTGCCTATAAATGGCATTGCCTTCTCAGTAACACCCTCCAGGTCCCGGAAGTGGATTGTAATCTCTTAGAAAACTGTACTGCCTGTCACGAGTCATTTGTGTCTACTGCCTTGCAACGTTAGCTTCGCAGCTCAGCAAGCATAAGCGTTCCTCTAAAAGACTATAAATTTCACCCACAAACTCCTTATTAGACCTCATAATAACCACCTAAATACTTCAGTTAATCATATTGAAAAGAGGACCAAATGGAAACTAATGTTGGAACTTTTACAGTAGTCTTCATAGATAAAGGGAAATTACCCACATTTTAGGGCTCATCAAACTCCACAAATGGAGTTATTTGCCCTTCTGATTTTGGAAATATATTCATCTCATATCATTAGAAGATAACTTCTGTTACATTTCTTATTATTGGAATAATGTCTTCTGTAAGGTAATTTTTTATCTCTGCTTCTTCCACAATTGGAAGAAAGACTAGTACTGTATATCATAATGTCATTTGCTTTCTAAATGTTTTATTTAATGACCTCCTTAGGTTTAAAATATCTACAAATAACAGCAGTTTAGAGAGAACATCAAACATATTTATAATCTATATCTTGTTTCAAATGTCTCTTGATAACTCGGTATAACCTTGCTCACATCACTTATATATTCTCTGCCTTAGGTTTGAAAGACTGTGGTAATTATTTTAGGATAGACATTTTCAGTGTTTTGAACTCAGTTAAACAACCCTAGTTCTAATCCAGTTTTCATCACTAATAATCTGTATTACCACAGCAATGCCATGTAACATTTTTAGATCTTGATCTTTGCTTTTATAGAAAACACATATTGAACATAGTGAATGCAAGACCCCTTCCAACTCTAGGAATCAAATATAGGAATATTTAACTTCGAGTCAGAATTTTGTAAAATAAAAGTTTTGTTGTGATTCCTTTTAGTTTTGAAGTAATTGTATTTAACCTGAAAATATTTACTTGCCCTTACTCGATCTCTTAATGCTTTAAAGGAAAGGGAAGCTGTCTATCATGGACTATAGCATTTGAAAGTAGATTTAAACTCATAGAAGCCAAGTAGAATGGTGGTTACCAGGGCCTTGGCTGGGAGTTGATGGTGAGGAGAGACTGGGGAGATGTTGGTCAAAGGCTAAAAAGTTTCACATAGATAGAAAAAAGTTCAGGAGATCTATTGTACAACTAGCATGGTGTACATAGTGATAATAATTATCATAACGATACATTGTATACTTGAAAATTGCTTAGAGAGTAGATTTTAAGTGTTCTCAGCACCACAAAATGACAAGTATGTGAGATAACAGAATGTTAATTAGCTTAATTTAGCCATTCCACAATGTATACATAAATCAACACATATTGTAACAATGAATATATATTATTTATCACTAAAAGTAAATTAAGAAAAAACAAACAAATAAATAATTGATTAGTTTGTGAAAAAAATTAAGCATACCAAAAGAATGTAATAATTTTTTATTATTATACTTTAAGTTCTGGGATACATATTTGGAATGTGCAGGTTTGTTACATAGGTATACACATGCCACGGTGATTTGCTGCACCCATCAACCTGCCACCTACATTAGGTATTTCTCCTAATGCTATCCCTTCCCTAGCCCCCAACCCCCCCACAGGCCCCCATGTGTGATGTTACCCTCCCTGTGTCCATGTGTTCTATTTGTTCAAGTCCCAATTATTAGTGAGAACATGCGGTGTTTGGGTTTCTGTTCCTGTGTTAGTCTGCTGATGGTTTCCAGCTTCATCCATGTCCCTGCAAAGAACATGAACTCATCCTTTTTTATGGCTGCATAGTATTCCATGATGTATATATGCCACATTTTCTTTATCCAGTCTATCATTGATAGGGATTTGGGTTGGTTCCAAGTCTTTGCTATTGTGAAAAGTGCTTCAACAAACATATATGTGCATGTGTCTTCATAGTAGAATGATTTATAGTCCTTTGAGTATATACCCAGTAATGAGATTCCTGAGTCAAATGGTATTTCTGGTTCTAGGTCCTTGAGGAATCACCACACTGTCTTCCACAATGGATGAACTAATTTACATTCCCACCAACAATGTAAAAGTGTTCCTATTTCTCCACATCCTCTCCAGCATCTGTTGTTTCCTGACTTTTTAATGATCGCCATTCTAACTGGCATGAGATTGTATTTCATTGTGGTTTTGATTTATATTTGTCTAATGACCAGTGATGATGAGCTTTTTTTCATGTTTGTTGGCTGCATAAATGCCTTCTTTTGAGAAGTGTCTATTCATATCCTTTGCCCACTTTTTGATCGGGTTGTTTTTTTTTTTTCTTGTAAATTTGTTTAAGTTCTTTGTAGATTCTGGATATTAGCCCTTTGTCAGATGGATAGATTTCAGAAATGTTCTCCCATTCTCTAGATTGCCTGTTCACTCTGATGGTAGTTTCTTTTATTGTGCAGAAGCCATTTAGTTTAATTAGATCCCATTTGTCAATTTTGGCTTTTGTTGCCATTGCTTTTGGTGTTTTAAACATGAAGACTTTGTGCATGTCTATGTCCTGAATGGTATTGCCTAGGTTTTCTTCTAGGATTTTTATGGTTTTAGGCTTTACGTTTAAGTCTTTAATCCATTTTGCATTAACTTTTATATAGGTATAAGGAAGGGGTCCAGTTTCAGTTTTTTGCATATGGCTAGCTGGTTTTCCCAACACCATTTATTAAATAGGGAATCCTTTCCCCATTGCTTGTTTTTGTCAGGTTGGTCAAATATCAGATGGTTGTAGATGTGTGGTATTATATCTGAGGCCTCTGTTCTGTTCCATTGGTCTGTATATTTGTTTTGTTACCAGTACCATGCTGTTTTGGTTATTATAGCCTTGTAGTATAGTTTGAAGTCAGGTAGCTGATGCCTCCAGCTTTGTTCTTTTTGCTTAGGATTGTCTTGGTTGTATGGGCTCTTTTTTGATTCCACGTGGAATTTAAAGTAGTTTTTTCTAATTCTGTGAAGAAAGTCAGTGGTAGCTTGATGAGAATAGCATTGAATCTGTAAATCACCTTAGGGAGTATGGCCATTTTCACAATATTGATTTTTCCTATCCATGAGCATGAAATGTTTTTCCATTTGTTTGTTTCCTCTCTTATTTCCCTGAGCAGTGAAGGTAATGATTTTTTAAGCAATATTACTGTATCTGGTAAAATGTTCTCAGCTTTGCAAATTTTCTGGTGAGAAAACACATACACATATTTTCATGGCCTGACTACAATAATGAGAAATATAATATGTATTGGTTTCTACAGTCTTACAGATACCGAAAATGGCATGCCTTACTTTTCATTGTAACACTTTCTTTGCATTATGTTGCACTAACTTTAAAAGCTCACATAATAATGACACAGCACATATCAATAAGTTAACTTGGTGAATATCAGCCACCTACTTCTCTTATTATGGCTGCACAATCAAAATATAAAGAAAAATCTTCATTTTAACACTATTCATAATCCAAGTAATAAACCACATCTGAAAACCCTAAGCATTAATATTTTTTGTTTTATTATTCAAATTTTATTAAATATTATGCACAAATCCAATAAAGAAAGGACTAAGATGTTCAGCTAAACATGAGAGAGATACATTACAATTCTTAAACATGTAAGTTGGGGCAGGCCATTTTTTTTTTCAAAAAGTCATTCAATGAATGCTTATATATTATAGTTTAAATATATTCCAGAATACTCTCGATGTTTATGAGCTATTGTCAAATAAAAGGTGAAATTTGCATAACATAAAATTAATGTATTTCTAATTAGATAATTTGATGGCATTTAATACATTTACAGTGTTGTGCAACTATCACCTCTGTCTAGTTCTAAAATATTTTCATCACTCCAAAAGGAACTCTGTATCCACAAATAGTTATTCTTCATTTTCTCCTCTCCCTGGCAATCACTAATCAGCTATCCCTCTCTATGGATTTACCTATTCTGCCTATTTCATTTAAATGGAATCATAGTGTATGTAATATTTTGTGTCTGGCCTCATTCACTCAGCATGTTTTCAAGATTCATTCATATAATAGCATGTATCATCACTTTTGATGCTGAATAATATTCCATTGTATGTATATGTCACATTTTGAGTATCCATTCATCCACCGATGAACATTTCTGTTGTTTCCACCATTTGGCTCTTGTGAATAGTGCTGCTGTGTACTTACAGCATGTACTTGTTTGAGTCCATTTCCAATTCCAATTCTTGAGTCCATTTCTTGAGTTCATTTCCATTTCCAGCTCTTTTGGATACATGTCTAGGATTGTAATTATGGGATTATATGGTAATTCTGTTAGATTTTTGAGGAACCACCAAATTATTTTTTCCATATAGCCGAACCATTCTATATTCCCCTCACCAATGTAGAAATATTTCCATTTCTCCAATTTCTCACGATGACTTATTTTCCATTTTTTTTCTTTTTACTTGTAACTATCCTATTGGGTATGAAGTGGTACTTCATTGTGGTTTTGATTTACTTTTCCCTAATGACTAAAGATATTGAGCATCTTTTCATGTATGTGTTGGCCATTTGTATATTTTCTTTGGAGAAATGTCTATTTAAGTCCTCTGCTTATATTTTAATCAGGTTGTTTGTCCTTTTGCAATTGCATTATAAGTTCTTTTTATACTCTCTTTACTAGACCCTTATAATATGGATGAATTGCAAATATTTTCTCCCATTCTGCAATTGTCTTTTCATTTTATTTATAATGTCCTTTGATGCAAAAAATGTTTTAATTTTATGAGGTGTAATTTATCTATTTTATTATTTTGTTTCTCATGCTTTGGGTGTCATATCTAAGAATCCATTGACAAATCCAATAGATTTGTCATGAATATATACTACTAAGTTTTCTTCACCATTAGTTTTATGGTTTTAGCACTTGTATTTAGATTGAACTATTTTGAGGTACTTTTTATGTATGTGTGGCAGGTCTCAAAATTTATTATTTTGCCTGTGGATATCCAGATATTCCAGCACAATTTGTTAAAAAGTCCATTCTTTTCCAGTGATGATCTCGACACCCTTGCCAAAAATTAATTGGCAATAGATTCATGGTTTACTTCTGGACTCTCAGTTCTATTCCATTAATCTATATATGTATTATTCTGGTATCACACTGTTTTGAATTTGTTGCTTTGTAATAGGGTTTGAAATCAGGAAGCATGAGCCATTCAGTTTTTTTTCTTTTGTAAGATTATTTTGGCTATTGAGTCCCTTGAAATTTCATATAAATGTGAGAATTGCTTTTATCATTTTTGCAAACAAGGCTGTTGGGATTCTATAGGGATTGCACTGAATCTGTAGATTTCTCTGGGTAGTATTGACATCTGAACAATATTAAGTCTCAATCCAAGAATGTAGGTTGCCTTTATTTTGATTTTTTTTCTAGCTGTATTGAGGTCTAATTGACAAATAAAAACTATATATATTTAAGATGTGTATAATGATTTAATATATGTATACATTATAAAAGAATTACCATAATCCAAATAAGCAATTCATATATCATCTCAAATAGTTATGTTTATTTTGATGAAAACATTTAAGATCTCTCTTAGCAAATTTAAAGTATATCATTATTAACTATAGTAATCATGCTGTACACTAGAACTCCAGAATTTATTCAGGTGTAACTAAAAGTTTGTACCCTTTGACCAACATCTCTCCATTGAATCACCACTCTACCAAACCATTGTAACCACCATTCTAGTTCTAAGAGTTTGAATTGTTTAGATTCCCCTCATAAGTTATGTCATGCAGTATTTATCTTTCAGTGTCTGATTTATTTGACTTAGCATAATGTCTTTGATGTTTATCCATGTTGTTGCAGATGAAAGGATTTCCTTTAAGTTTGAATAGCATTCCATTGTGTATGCATGTATGTGTGTGTATATATATATGTGTGTGTGTGTGTGAATATTTCACATTTTCTTTATCCATTCATCCACTGATGGACACTTAGGTTGTTTGCGTATCTTGGCTATTATAAATAATGTTTCAGTGACCATGAGAGTAGAGATATCTCTTCAAGATCCTTATTTCAACTCCTTTGAATATATATCTAGAAGGAGGATTACTGGATTATATGGTAGTTCTGTTTTTTTATTTTTTTTTGGAAACTTTATACTGTTTTCCATAATGATTGTACCAATTTGCTTTCTGACCAACGATTTACAAGGGCTTCCTTTTCTTCATGTTCTCAACAATACTTGTTATCATTTGTATTTTTGATAATAGCCCTCCTAGCAGATATAAAGTAATATATCATTGTGGTTTTGATTTACATCTTCCTAGTGACTAGAGGTATTGAGCACTTTTCATATGCCTATTGCTCACTTCAATATCTTTCTTGGAAAATGTCTATTCTTCCTCACTTCTCACTTTTTAATCAGGCAATACCTCTTTATAATATTGAGTTGTATGAATTTTTAATATATTTTGGATAATAGCTTCTTATGAGATATATGGTTTGCAGATATTTTATTTCATTTTATGGGTTGCATTTCATTTTGTTGTTTATTTTTCTGTGCAGAAAATTTTAACTTGATATAGTCACAAATATTAATTTTTGCTTTGTTGCCTGTGCTTTTGGTGTCATAGCCAAAAAAGTCATTGCCAAGATAATGTCTAAAAGGTTTTCACCTATGTTTTCCTCTAGGAGTTTTACAATTTTAGGTCTATACTCAATTCTTTAATTTACTTTGAGTTAATTTTTTTGGTAAAAGATGAGTTCAATTTTTTTTATTTTGCATGTCCATATCCAGTTTCACAACACCATTTATATGAAGAGGCTATTTTCTCCTCGTGTATTCCTGGCACCTTTGATGGAGATTAGTTGAATATATATATATGGGCTTATTTCTAGATTCTCTTTCTGTCTTATTGGTCTAGGTGTCTGTTTTTAATGCCAGTACCATACTGTTTTCATTACTATACCTTTGAAACATAATTTGAGATCAGATATTATGCCAGCTTTGTTCTTGTTTCTTAAGATTGCTTTAGCTATTATGGGTCTTTTGTGGTTCCATGTGAATTTTAACATTTTTTCTGTATCTGTTACAAATACTATTAGAATTTTGATTGAGATTGTGCTGAATCTGTAGATCGCTTTTGGTAGTGTGGGCATTTCAAAAAATATTCATTCTTCCAAGCAATGGAAATGGTGTATCTTTCCACTTATTTGTATCTTCTCTGATTTCTTTCATCATTATTTTGTACTTTTCAGTGTATAGATTTTTCATCATCTTGTTAAACTTTATTCCTATTTATTATTTTTGATGCTCTTTTAAATGGGATTATTTTGTTGATTTTGTTTTCAACTAGCTCATTGTTAACATATAGAAGCACAATTGATTTTTGTATGTTGATTTTGTATCTTGAAACTTTCCTGAATTTGTTCATGATTTCTGTCTTTTGGTGGAGACTTTAAGGTTTTCTGTACATAAGATCATGCCATCTGCAAACAGACAATTTAACATCTGCCTTTCTAATTTGTATGCACTTTATTTTTTTGTCTTGCCTAATTGCTCTGGCTAGGACTTCCAGTACTATTAATGTGTTGGATATAATGGTGAGAGTGGGGATCTTTATCTTATTCTTCATTGTAGATAAAATGCTTTCTGGTTTTCACTTTTGAGTATGATGTTAGCTGTGGCCTTGCAATACATGACCTCTACTAAGTTGAGGTAGATTATTTCTGTATCTAATTTATTGAGAGTTTTTTTTATAAAAGGATTTTGAACACTGTCAAATAGGATATAATCATATGATTTTTATCCTTCATTTTGCTCATGCAGTGTATCACATTTTTGTATTTGTGTATGTTTAACTATCTTTGCATTCCAAGGATAAATCCCACTTGATTGAGGGATACGATCATTTTAATATACTGTTAAATTTTATTTGTCTGTAATTGGTAAATGCTTTGCATCTATGTTCATGGGGATGTTGGCCTGCAATTTTGTATTTTTTAGTGTTATTGTCTGACTTTGGTATCAGGGTAATGTTGTCCTTGTAAAATTAGTTTAGTAGTGTTTGCTCCTCTTTATATTTTTGGTTAAATTTGAGATTATTGGTATTAATTCTTTAAATATTTGGTACAATGGAGCAGTAATAACACAGGCCCTAGGCTTTCCTTTTATGAGAGACTTTTTACTTCATCAATCTACTTACTTGGTATTTGTTCATATATTCTATTTTTTCATGATTCATTCTCAGTTGTTTGTATATTTTTAAGCATTTATTCATTTTTTTCTTTCTTATTTTTTGGCATATAGCTGTTCATAGCAGTCTGTAATGATCGTTTGTATTTCTACAATATCAGTTGTAATGTCTGTCCTCTTTCGTTTTGATTTTATTATTTGAGATTTCTCTTTTTTTTGTAATCTAGCTACAGGTTTGTCAATTTTATCTTTTAAAAAATCAATTCTTAGTTTTGTGAATATTTTCCATTTTTTTCTAGCCTCTCTTTCATTCAGCACTTATCTTTGTATTTTCTTCCTTCTAATAACTTTAAGCTTAGTTTATTGTTGTTTCTTTACATACTTGAGGTGTAACGTTCGATTATTTACAGATTTTTTTTTAGAACATAGCCATTATTGCTATAAACTTCACTGTTGGAACTGTTTTTGCTGCATCTCATAAGTTTTGGTATGTTGTTTTTCCACTTTCATTGATCTTCAGCAGGTGCCTCTGCTGCCATGTTTGTTGTGGTATGTTAGGTGCAAATGCTGATAGAGCAACTGGGTACTGAATCATGGAAAGGTGGGGAGTGACAGTGGCTACGGGGCCTGAGGCACAGGATATCCCACTGTGGTAGTGGCTCAGATGTCTAAGGTGTGGCTGCTCCCAATATAGCAGTAGAAATGGTACCCAGAGGACAGGTACATGCAGAGAGACCCACTGTGGCAATAACTGGGGTATGGCCTAGCCCACAAAGATGGTGATACAGTGGCTCTGGTGTTTGAGGTAAAAACACATGAGCGGTGGAGGCACAGAGCTAGAGTCTGGAGTACAGGGGCAGTGGCTCAGATGTCTAAAGTATAGGTACTCATGTAGTGGTGGTGGAGCCACAGTGTGTGGCATTGGTGTGTGCAGATCCACCGAGGCTCCAAGGTAATGTGCAGTCTTTGGTGGTGAAGGCTACTGGGATCTTCCTAATCTATTTTTCTCCCATGAAGAAGTCATGGCTGAGGGAATCCTATGGGAACTGAGTCTGCCTTGCAGGCATTCTAAATGTCTAAATGTCAGTGCCCTCAGTGTTTGAGGTGCAGGCGTGCAGTGTGGCTGCAGAGCTGGGATATGGAATACAGACATGCGTGGAACTGCTGCACATGGATTTGAGAGGTATGTTGGTCCTGGTCCCAGGGTAATAAAACAGAGGCTCACTCTTGTGGATGGTGGGTGCAGCAGCGTATCCTCTCCAAGGGGCCAGTAAGCAGTAATGGCTCTTATTTATCTCAGTGACAAAAGATGCCAGTGACCTTTGCGGAACAAGTATCTATTTGCTGTCTCTTGTGAGGGGATGAAGGCTGGTATCTTCTACTCTGTCAGACTGCTGACATCACTTGAGTATCGTTTTAGACGTAAATTTTTCTTGAATGCACTTTCTTGTGTAAAGGAAGTTCCCATCAATTGATAATTTTTAGAGTTTTTTTTTATGAAGTGGTGTTAGATTTTGTCAAATACTTTTCTGCATTGACTGATATAATCATGTGGTATTCCCCTATTGTTTTAGTTACATGTATTATATTGATTGATTTGCTTATGTTGAAACACTGTATTACTAGGATAAATCTCACTTGGCCATAGTGTATAATCTTTTAATATGCTACTGGATTCAGTTCAGTATTATTTTATTGAGGATTTTTACATCTATATTCAAAAGTCATATTTTCCTGTACTTACGCATTTGCTTTCTACTTTGATATAAGGGGTAATATTAGCCTCATTGAATTACTTATCTATCTTACTCATTTTTTTAAGAGCTTGAGAAGAATTAGTGTTAATCCTTCTTTAAAATTTTTGGTAGGATTCAGTAGCAAAACCATCTGATCTGAGCTCTTTTTGGTAAGATTTTTGATAACTACTTCAATTTTATTACTTGTTATTTGGTTTGTTAAGATTTTCTGTTTCTTCTTGAATCACTTTTGGTAATTGTGTGTTTTTAAGAATTGTCCTTTTCATCTAGCCTATCTAATTTTCTGATGTATAGTTGTTCATAGTATTCTCTTATAATCATTTTTCACATTTCTGTCATGTTGGTGTAACGTTGCCACTTACATTTCTGATATGTTTCTTGCACTTTGTATTTTTTTTTAGTGAATCTAGCTAAATGTTTGCCAATTCTATAAATTTTTTCAAAGAATTAACTTTTGTTTTTTTATTCTTTCTATTGTTTTAATATTGTCTATTTTGTTTACCCCAATCTTGATTATTTCCCTTCTTCTCCTAGGCTTTAGGTTTAATTTGCAATAGTTTTTATTGAATTAGGTGTAACATTAATGTATTTATTTGATATACTCCTTTTAAAAAAAATACAGGTTTTACCATTATAAAATTCCCTCTTAGAAATAATTTTGTTGCATCTTATACATGTTAGTGTATTATGTTTTTATTTTATTCATCTATAATTATTTTCTCATTTTCTTGTGATGTATTATTTGATACATTGGTTGTTCAACAGCATGTTGGGTAATTTCCACATATTTGTAAATTTTTCAGTTTTCCCTCTGTCATTTATTTGTGGCTTATTTAATTTTATCTGAGAAGCTAATTTATGTTATTTCAATAGTTTTAAATTCACTGAGACTTTTTATGTGGCCTAACATATGGTCTGTGCTAAGGGATGTTCTGTGTACACTTGAGCAGAATGTATATAATGCTGTATATTCTATTGTTGGGTGGAGTCTTTTTTATATGTCTGTTAGGCCTAATTGGTTTATAGTGTTTTTTCAGTTTCTTTATTTTTTATTGATCTTCTGTTTGGTTGTTCTATCTATTATTGAAAGTGGGATATTAAGGTACTCCAAGTATTATTGTAGAACTCTGTATGTCTTCAATTCTGTCAATGTTTGCTTTATAGATTTTGGGGCTATGTTTTTTGGTCCATATAGGATTATAATTTTTAAATTTTTTTGATGATTTGACTCTGTTATCAATATATGCTGTTCTTTTTCTATTGTAAATACTTTTTAGTTCAAGTGTATGTCTGATATTAGCATGCCTACTTCATTTTTTATTGGTATATATGTAGAATACCTTTTTCCATCCTTTCATATTTTACCTATTTATGTCGTTGGATCTAAAATAAGCCTTATATATAGTACATAGTGGGATCAAGTGGTTTTCTTTATAAATTCATTTTGCCAATCTCTGCCTCTTGACATGAGAATTGAATCTATTTATATTTAAGGTAATTACTGATAAAGAAAGAACTTACTTCTGATATTTTGCTACATGTGTTCTCTGTTCATTATTCATTTCTTTCATTACCATCTTATTTTTATTACTGGCAGTGTACTGTTTTGATTTCCCTCTCATACACTTTTATATGTATATTTTTGAGTTCTTCTTAGCGATTATCATAGAATTTAAGAAATGTTCTAAATTTATAATCATGTAGTCTGAATTGATGCTAACTTAACTTTAATAGCATTCAAAACTCTGTTCCTATATTGTTCCACCCTCTCTTACATTGTCATTGTCAGGAACTACATCTTTATTCATTCCATGTGTATTACCATACATTTATGGTTATGTTTTAGCATTTGATTTTTAAGTCATATAGGAAATTTTAAGAGGTATTACAAGCCAAAAATACAATGATAGTGTCTTTTATATTTACCTATGTAAATATACCTTTACTGGATTTCTTTATTTCTTCATATAGCTTCAACTCTTTGTCTAGCTTATTTTTATTTCAGGCTGGAAAATTCCCCTGAATACATCTTTTAGGACATGGTTAGTAGTGACATATTCCCTTCCTCAGCTTTAAAAAAGAAATCTGAGGATGTGTTAATTTTTATTGCATATATGAAAACTAGTTTTGCTGGACAAAATTATTATTTGTCAAGAACTTTTTTTTCTTTTAGGACTTAAAAAAATGCCATCCCACTCCCCTTTGGCCTCTGTGGCTTCTGATGAGAAATCTTCCATTGATCCTACTGAAGATTCCTTGTATGTAACAAAGTATCTCGCTCTTGCTTTGTTGAAAATGTTTAATTTGACTGGCTTTCAACAATTTAGTTATAAGGTGTCTCAACATATAGCTCTTTGTGTTTATCTTTACTAGAATGCACTATACTTCTTAAATATGTAGATTAGTGTCATTTATTAAATGTGAGAAGTTTTGGCCATTATTTTTTATAATATTTTCTGTATCTCCTTTTGTCTTTACTTTTCTTTAATTCTCATAATACATAAATTGGTATGCTTGATGATATCCCAGTGGTCTCGTAAGCTCTATTAGCTTTCCTTATTTTTTTTTGTTCTTCTCATTCTGAATAATTTAAATGAATCTGTCTTCAGGTTTGTTTGTAATGTCTTCTGTCTGCTTGAAGCTAATATATAAACTTTCTTATAATTTTCTTGAAATTTCAATTCCTGTACTTACTAGCTACAGAAGTTTTGGACTTCTTTCTTTTTATAATTTCAATCTTTTTATTGTTATTTTCTATTTGTGCATACATCATTCTCTTGGTTTCCTTTAGTACTTTTTCATGATTTTCTTTAGATCTTTAAGGGCATAGTTGACTCTTTCTTTAAAGTTTGTATCTAGTAAATCCAATGTTTATGCTTTCTCAGGGATGGTTTCTGTAAATTTCTTTTGTGAATGAGTCATACATTCATGATTTTTTCCATGCCTTATAATTTTTTGTTAAAACCTGGACATTTTGAACATTCTAATGTGGTAACTCAAGATCTGTATTTCCCCCTCATAATATGTATTTTATTGCTGATTGTTTACTAAGTTTTCAAAACAATTTTATAATGTCTATTTTCTTTATCTGATGTGTTTTCTGAAGTCTGTTCTTTTATATTTAGTTAGTGTTTTGACATAGATTTTACTGAACATCAGAAAAGGAGAAAGAAAAGAAAGAGAAAGAAGCAGCAGCAGCAGCAGCAGAAGAAGAAGAAGAACAACAATAAGAAAGGGAACTCTTACTATCTACATAGATTAGTTCTGTGCTAGGACCCTTTTTCAATGTGTAGCCAGGCTTTCTACAACTCTGTCGTATTTCTCACCGAGTGCTTGTGCTGATCCTCATGATCAGCCAGAAGACAAAGCTTAGAGTCTTCTCAGATCTTTTCTGAGCAGGGATCTAGCTCTGGGTACATGCATTACTTTCCAAAATGTCCAGTATTCACAAACACTTTTGAAGCCATAATTTCCCAATTAAACTCTCTCCAGCTTTTGCTTTCATGGTTTCAGTGTTCTCTTGTTTCCTTCGATTCGGTAGATCTATTGTGTCTTTTGAATTGTAATCTTTTGCCCCCAGTGGCTGTAAGTTGTATATTTGCTTACAGTGTTTCTGAAGAATGCCTATTACTTTTTTATCCTGAGTTCCTAATTAGATGAAACTAAAACAGGCCCCTTGTATCTGTACTTCAGGTCGACTTGAGACAAGTTGGAACAGACAAACACCATTCTTTCTTCATGAATAATAATTTTTATGGCTTCTGCCTGGCGAGGCATCAGAGTCCCAACATCAAAAAATGGTTGGTTTGCAGGTTGTAGGGTAGTAAGAAGCATTTACCTATGATATTATAGGTTTGAAAACGAAAGTTTTATTAAATAGAAAGTATGAGCACACAGCAGTGGATTTTTCCCTATGGGTATTTATGGACTGTAAAGCCAGAGTTTAAGGGTAATTTGGACGGTATTAGCAACATAAGTCATGATAAATGATTACATTGTAGACATTTTGGTGCCGTACACATTTTGGTGTCATGATATCATCAAGGGTTGCACAATGAGTTTTGACCTGCATGCATTCTATAAATATATCAAAATTCTCTTTATAATTTTTTTAAGCCTGCTACTGTGGGAGTTGAACAATGAGAACACATGGACACAGGGAGGGGTACATCACACACCAGGGCCTGTTGGGGGGTGAGGGGGCTAGGGGAGGGATAGCATCAGGAAAAATACCTAATGTAGATGACGGGTTGATGGGTGCAGCAAACCACCATGGCATGTAACAAATCTGCATGTTCTGCACATGTGTCCTAGAACTTAAAATATATATATATATTTTAAAAAAAAGCCTGGTACCAGATGCCAGCTTTAGATAATAGGGAAGTCTAATTACTTCTAATTCCTCAGGTAGGGAGTTTTACTTCTGGATGGTCTGCTTGATGCCCAGCAGGTGGTCTTTGTTCTTTTCATTATATTTCTAAATTTCTCAGATAAGGAGTTTTGCCTTTGGATGGTCTGCTCGATGGTACCCAGGTGATCTTTACCGTCCTCAGTGTCTCTATCTGGAACCAGGGACCAGTATGCAACACTGGGGATGCAGACTGACATCTTCAATATTGCCACCATGCTGAAAATGGGGTGGGAAAAGGGCAAGCACAAATTATTTTTAAGTTGCTCTTTTCTTGATTCAATGTTTGCTTGTTGCTGCAAATATTTGACTCTTTTCCTGAATTCTGACAAAGTTGATTCTGTCTTTCTTGTCAATGTTTTTGTGGAAGTCCAGATCCTTGGGGTTACTTTTGTCACAGGCATTGCTCCCTGTTTTCACTTTTAAAAAAATAATAGAGGTTCAGATAGTTGATTTTGACACCTTTCTTCTCTCTCAGTTTTGCAGACCCACAAAAAAAAAGAAAACAAAAGAAGATTCCTCTCTGTATACATTTCAACAGAGATTTTAAACAATTGAGTTGGATTATTTTTGTTTTATATATGTGTAAAAAGAAAATATCTCTTGATTCCTGTGTTTAAAAAAGAGACCATTTTCATCCTGGAAAATACTCAAAACATCTCGGAGAAAAAAATGCATTTCCTTCTTGTGACACAATGTTAGGGTTTTTTTTTTAAGTTTTCATAAACATATCAAAACATATAAACATACATGAAGTACAATGTCTCCTGGTCTGTAAAAATGTAACATTACGATGCTACTACATATGGTGATAATAGGAGGAAAGGAAATTTTTGAAGAGTGGTTCTGGGCTAAGAGTTGTCCTATAATTTGGAGGTGTTTGTTCTGGAGTTCACACAGCTTATGCTTTGTTCTATAAGCTACAAGAAGCCCAAGCTACATGGAGATGTCCTATTTGGGCAATGCCAACCTATTTTGTTGGCAGTGTCAGTCAGCTGAGCCCAGACATTGAATGTGAGCCCAGACATTGGGATTGCAGGTGTGGGCCACCACACTCAGCTTGCTCATATAAAGACACTCCACACATACCTGATACCTGAGTGAAGAAGCATGCAGATGCTTTCTCCCCTCTACCATTTGAGTCACCTTAACTAAGGCATGGGAAGAGAGGCAAGCTACATCTACAGTCTAAATTTCTGATCACAGAACAAACAGCATCATATAATGTGGTTACTTTATGCCATTAAAATGGGGTAGCTCGTTATTCAGCAAGAAATAACTAGAACACGAGGCTAAAAATAATAAATCACCTCAGAGTTCTAAGAGCTAAGTCAGAAAATGATTATAAGGATTCCAGCAGTTGCTAATAAATAACAGCTACTCAACAAGATTAGGCCCTGATCCATCATGCTCACAGGGTTTTGTTCACATTAATCCTACTTGACTTACTGAGTATGTCTCTTAGCAGAATCCTACTTTATTTTGCAAATAAGAGACACAAGTCCTACCTCTATGTAAACCCATCCATGCCTTCAAAAATGGCTAGCATGTTGAAACTCTTTGCCTTTTATTTTTAAAAATATGTTTAATATACCAAACAGCCTATACATACATGAAAAAATTCCCCAGAAATATTTGTGACACAGTCTTTATATGAGCAAGCTGAGCATGGTGGCCCACACCTGTAATCCCAGCATTTGGAAAGCCTGAGGTTGGAAGACTGCTTGAACCCAGGAGTTTGAGACCAGTCTGGGCAACACAGTGAGACCCTGTCTCTACAAAGAAATACAAAAATTAACCAGGCGTGGTGGTGTGCACTTATAGTTCCAGCTACTTGGGAGGCTGAGGCAGGAGGATTGCTTGAACAAAGGAAGTCCAGGCTACAATGAGCTGTAGTTGGGCCATTGAACTCCAGTCTGGGCAACAGAGCAAAGCCCTGTCTCAAAAAAAAAAAAAAATACACACATTTTTCATATTTTATACTTCCATTCAAAAAGAAAAGACTGTGATGATAATTTCATATTTTACAACAACTTTTTTCTCAAGTGATTACAATATAGGGAGTCCACCAGAACATTTCTCTGCAGTCCTCAATCATACACTTTATAGTAAGAAATAATATAATTTGGCCGGGCGCAGTGGCTCACGCCTGTAATCCCAGCACTTTGGGAGGCCGAGGTGGGCAGATCACGAGGTCAGGAGATCGAGACCATCCTGGCTAACACGGTGAAACCCCATCTCTACTAAAAGTACAAAAAATTAGCCGGGCGTGGTGGCGGGTGCCTGTAGTCCCAGCTACTCGGGAGGCTGAGGCAGGAGAATGACGTGAACCCGGGAGGCGGAGCTTGCAGTGAGCCGAGATCGCGCCTCTGCACTCCAGCCTGGGAAACAGTGCAAGACTCCATTTCAAAAAAAAAAAAAAGAAATAATATAATTTTTGCAAGGTCTGAACTTTTATAGTCCTGTTACCATTTAATGTGAACATAAGAATTGAGATACAGATAAGTTTGAAATATATAGTTTTTGTTAAAGTTCACTTGGATATTACCAGTGAAAGAAAGCCCTCAAGAATATAGGAGACTAAGTAATTGAGTCAAGAACATTCACTGGGAGCCTATAGTACCTCTCTCATAAACAAAACCATGAGAGACAAAAGAAATCCCATTAAAGTGTATCTATTGACTATATATTGCAAATGTCCTAGGTATATTAGATGTGGAACAGTGAAAAGCCATAAAATGAGTCCGTGTGTACTGATAATGTCTGAAAACTTTTAATCTCACTTTGGAATCAAGACAGATAAAGCAATTAAAATAAATTCAAGCTTAGCTTAGGAATAAGAAATAAAATGTGAGCTAGTGCAGCCATGGTGTTAAGAGCTTTGAGGGAAAAAAAAGGAGTTAGCAATGTAGAAACAAGTAGCCAGGTAGAATTTATAGTGAAGCTTGAACTGGATCTGCAGTTTGAAGGAAGAAACACGCATATTCTAATCTTGGGTTTGAATGCTGGATATGATTCGAATGAAATACATGTAGATAAATCATGGCGAGTTCATTATTATTCTATGATTTAAGAACTGCACTTACGTAAAAGTATCTTACTTAGGATAATTTCTTTCCCTCCTCTGTATGCTTTCCTGAATTATCCTAACACCTACACATATCTTAGAATTTTATTCTATTGAAATAATCTATTTTTTGTGTCTTTTTCTTTCATTGCATCACGGACCATTTGAAAACAAGGACCATACCTCATTCAGTTTTGTGCATCTCATGGTTTCTTTGCAATATTGTAATTTATAAAATGTATCTCAAATGGTTACGTAAATCACCAAAGATTGTACTTTTAGTAAAAGATAGAGTTAGAAATTAAACCCAGACTCTTTGGGACATTAAAGCCCATTGTGTTTATTAAAACGTGCTGTCAAAAATACATACTAAAAATATATGAATAGTTAAAATTCTTATTCCTGAGCCTCTTGCCAAATAAGAACATATAGATCTTATATATTTATCTGAAACACAACAAAAAGATAAGAATTGAACTACCACCACACTGAAAAGCCATGAATTTTTGGTTGAGTCAAGCAGTATGTGAATAGACAAACGGAGATCCCCAGGAGTGTTTTGTCACCTTGTAAGATGATGTCCACAAAAAATAATTATAAAAATTATAGAAGAGGAAAGCCATAACTCATTCTTAGTTGCAGGATGAGAGACCAAGATCACAGAAATAGTACAACAGATCGTGAAATGAACCCTGATGAGTCAAGCACATACTGGTACCTATGTTGAGATATTTCTGGCCCTGAGCAAGCGTTTTTGACAAAAAAGAAAGGGGGAATATTTGCATTTAATTTCTGTCGGGTATTTTCCCCTCCTACATCAGTGATAGAATAACAATGGATTGTGCCTCCTACTGTGTGGGTAATTTTTCAGTGCTCCCTCCTTGGGAATCAGCCTCATTTTTTGGACAGTTTCCTGCTGCTTCTGGGAGCCAAATAATTAGCAGCATAAAACTGAGCTAGAGGTCACATGGCGTATGTTATATGCTTGAAAATACTAATTTTTAAGGTCCTATAGTTTAATATTGTAAATTAAGACACACAAGACAGACCGACAACATAAGTATATATCAAAACCTCCTATAGCCCTCCTCTCCTCCATTACATTTGAAAAGAAAAGAAAATTTAAAAAAACAAGAAAAAAATGAAAATGATAAACCGACTTCAGGGATTCTTCTAAATCTGCTGGATAATTCAGGAAAGCATATATTACACTTGGTACCTACAGCATAACCACAGTTTTCCCACATCCACAAGTCGCTTATTGATTGACTTGCATAGTTTGATACCTTTGGGTAGTTTAGCTTGAAAGATCTGTTATTTGAGACTTTTAAAACACCTAATTTGGTGCTCAGTAATTCAAGCAAATCCTCTTGGTATGAAAATGAAATTCCAGGCATTGAGAGTCAAAAGGATGAGAAGAGCTGGCCTCCCTGTAAAAATCTGCATTCATGTCTATGTAGCTGAGCCTGGGGACATATAGGCCCACATGCTGCTGTTTGCCAATTAATCACAAGTACTTGGCTTGAATACTTAACAACTATGACCAACAAGCTGTAGTTTGTTGCCCTTCAATCAATATAGTCAAGCTTTAAGTCTAATTGCCATTGAATTAAAGCACATGGAGCATTTCAGTGTAAAATGACAGCCAGGTGTGACTGTTATTCAAAATGAGATTTTTATGTTTGCCACCCTGAGTAGTGCTACGTGAAGTATAAGAACATTTATAGATGCATGTTATTCACAGGAACCTAGAATTATAAGATACTAGAGTCATAGATAAATCTAGGTTGATTTTTCTCCTTTCACTTAAAAGACATTTATTGAGCACCTGTACTGTGCCAGGCAGAGACCTACGCACTGGGGATAGAATTGTAAACATTGTTCTCCCACTCCAGCATGATGAAGAAAAGACAATAAGGATATTAGCAAATAGATGGGCAAGATTATTTCAGTTAGCAACAAAATCTACAAGGAAAAGGAAAAGGATTTGGAGAATGCAGAGGGTGGGCAAGAGTGGATAATTCCAACTTTTATTAATGTAGGAATCTCCACCATAGCAAAGGTTAAGGGTGATCATTTTGCCTTTACTTGCACATGTTGTACCCTCTGAAACTTTTTCTCATTGGGCGTGTCACTCCTACCTCATGTCCCCTGCCCAAGTGTAATGCACCTTGCCCACTTTTTTATCTCAATATTTTCCATCATTAAACATAGAACTTGATTGCAGTCATTTGTCTACAATTTTTCTTCTCCCCAAAACTATGACATCTCTAAAGCAGAAATTGGCCACATTTGATTCATTTCGATATCCCATCTACCAGCAAAGACTTAGTATAAAGTATGCAGTCAATACAAATATTTAAAGAATAAATTAACTAGGGAATGAGACACGAGCCAGCCATTCTATTTTATGTACAATCTTATTTCTCAATTATTTGTCCCCTACTAAATTTCAAGTCTTCTCTTCATAGCTTTCACCTGAGCCTTCTTTTACTCTCTTAGCAACACGTGAAGGAATCCCTTTAAAGATGTCAATATATCTTTCTTTCATGCCCTCTCATGCCCAATAATGGGTAATGTTTTCAGGCTGAAGAACCTCTGTTGCTTTCCTCTGGTTATAATATTTAAATTTTTACCATTTTTGCCAACATACTCTTAATTAACTCTAGTTTTTTTAGTTTTCATTTCAAAGTAAAGGTCTTAAAAATTATTAAATCAGCTGTGTTCTGAGCATTCCAAAGGCCTATGGTATAATTACATCTTACCGTAACCAATAGTGAGTGTTTTTGATGCCAGGTTAAGGACTTGAAGATAATACGTCAATGTGTAGATATGATATGACTTGGTATTGAAAACATATTTTTTATTTATAGCAATTGTTTCCTTCCTCTGTTCTAGGTATCATAGAAATGAAAATGGATTTGAGACTCAATAAATTTAGAATTATCAAAGGAATACAGAACCTATATGCTTTGTATGTGTGTATGTATGTACAATATAATCTTGTTATCAGTTCTGTTTCTATTGTCCTGACTGATGCAAGGTGTGTGGTAAGAGTGATTATAGTGCAATTATAGGGGGTAAGGTCAAATAGAAGCCTCCCTCTGAAATTGACTACAGCTTAACCTAGATGGCATATTTTTTAAAGTGTGTGTGTGTGTGCTTGTATACATATGTGTATAAAACACTCCAGGTGGAATAGCAGAAGTTAGTGATGATTTTAATAACATAAAAGATGCATGTGTAGTGTGTCTAATATTTTCATTTATCTCAAGTCTAGCTCCTATAAAAATTAAATGATGATGGAGGATGACAGTTGGTTTTTGAAAAGCTATCCTAGTAGCAGTCCCATTTGCACCTACTATGATATATATGATGTCTTTGTTAGAGCATACTGACATGAGCTAAGATGAAAATAGTACCTCTAGGCCAGGCACAGTGTCTTATGCCTATAATCCCAGCACTTTGGAAAGCTGAGGCAGGAGGATCACTTGAGGTCAGGAGTTCAAGACTGGCCTGGCCAACATGGTGAAAGCCTGTCTCTACTAAAAATAGAAAAATTAGCCAGGCATGGTGATGCATGCCTGTAATCCCAGCTACTCAGGAGGCAGAGGTTGCAGGATTGCAGTGAGCCAAAATTGTGCCACTGCCCTCCACCCTCCAGCCTGGGTGACAGAGTGAGACTCCATCTAAAAAAAAAAAAAAAAAAGAAAAGGAAAGAAAGAAAGAAAGAAAAAGAAAATAGTTCATCTAGTGTCACAGTCAAGCAGTCAAGCATTTGGGAGGTCTCAAGTAAACCACATCAACTAGAGGCTCAGACCTGCACGTCATCTACAGCTTTTGCCCCAGTAGCTCTTCCTCAGTTTACATCTATGGCTTCAGCAGCCATCACCATTACAAGTTGAAGGAGAAGAGAAAATATGCTTGTTTAATGGAATTGTCAGCTTGAATTTTGGATTCAGGTGAAAAGTGCTTTTTAGCTGCACTAAAGGCTCACTCAGAGATAACAGAAAGAAAGCAATGAGGGGTAAATCAGCAGGAATTTAGTCTGTGTGCCTGGCCAGCCACATTATCTATAAAAAGAAGTAGCCTGAAGGGTATAGGTACGTGTGTGTACACAAACATGTTTACAGGCCTACTTCATTATATTGTACTTTGTTTTATTGCACTTCTTAGATATTTCAATTTTTACAAATTGAACATTGTGAAAACCCTGTGTTGAGCAAGTCTATCAGTGCCATTTTTTTTCTAACAGCATGTCCTCTCTTTGTGTCTCTGTGTCACATTTTGGTAATTCTTACAATATTTTGAACTTTTTCATTATTATATCTGTCATCGTGATCTGTGATCAGTGATATTTGATGTTACTATTGTAATTATTTTGGGGTGTCACGAACTACGACCATAAAAGATAGCAAATTTAATCAATAAATGTTGTGTGTGTTCTGACTGCTCCACAAACTGGCCATTCCCCTATCTCTCTCCTTCTTCTACAGCCTCTCTATCCCCAGAATCAGCAATATTAAAATTAGGCCAGATAATAACTGGATTAGTCCATTTTCACACTGCTGATAAAGACACACTTGAGACTAAAAAGAAAAAGAGATTTAATTGGACTTACAGTTCCACATGGCTGGGGAGGCCTCATAATCATGGTGGGAGGTGAAAGGCACTGCTTACATGACAGCAGCAAGAGAAAATTAAGATACAAATGTGGAAATTCCTGATAAAACCATCAGATCTCGTGAGACAGAATCACTGCCACAAGAACAGTATGGGGGAAACTGCCCCCATGATTCAAATTATCTCCCACGGGGTCCTCCCACAACACATGGGAATTATGGGAGTACAATTCAAGGTGAGAATTGGGTGGGGACACAAAGCCAAACCATATCATTCCACCCCTGGCCCTTCCAAATCTCATGTTCTCACATTTCAAAACCAATCATGCCTTTCCCAACAGTCCCCCGAAGTCTTCACTCATTTTAGCATTAACCTAAAAGTCCACAGTCCAAAGTCTCATCTGAGACAAGGCGAGTCCCTTCTGTCTATGAGACTGTAAAATCAAAAGCAAGCTTGCTATGTCCCAGATACAATGTGGGTACAGGTATTGGGTAAATACAGCCGTTCCAAATGGGAGAAATTGGCCAAAACAAAGGGATTACAGGGCCCATGCAAGTTCGAAATCCAGCAGAGCAGTCAAATTTTAAAGCTCCAAAATGATCTCCTTTGACTCCAGGTCTCACCTCCAGGTCATGCTGATGCAAGAAGTGGGTTCCCTTCTTGCATCTCTGACCCCACATTTCCCTTTTGCACTGCCACAGTAGAGGTTCTCCATGAGAGCCCCACCCCTGGCACAAACTTCTGCCTGGGCATCCAGGTGTTTCCATACATCTTCTGAAATCTAGGCGGAGGTTCCCAAACCCCAATACTTTTTTTTTAATACTTTAAGTTCTAGGGTACATGTGCAGAATGTGCAGTTTTGTTACATAGGTATACACGTGCCATGGTTGTTTGCTGCACCCATCAAACCATCACGTATATTAGGTATTTCTCCTAATGATATCCTTCCCCTAGCCCTCCATCCCACAACAGGCCCCATTGTGTAATCTTCCCCTCCCTGTGTCCATGTGTTCTCATTGTTCAACTCCCACTTACGAGTGAGAATATGTGGTGTTTGGTTTTCTGTTTTTGTGTTAGTTTGCTGAGAATGATGGTTTCCAGCTTCATCCATGTCCCTGCAAAGGACATGAACTCATCCTTTTCCATGGCTGCATAGTATTCCATGATATATATGTGCCACATTTTCTATATCCAGTCTATCATTGATGGACATTTCAGTTTGTTCGAAGTCTTTGCTATTGTGAACAGTGCCGCAATAAACATATATGTGCATATGTCTTTATAGTAGAATGATTTATAATCCTTTGGGTATATACCCAGTAATGGGATTGCTGGGTCAAAGGTATTTCTGTTTCTAGGTCCTTGAGGAATTGCCACACTGTCTTCCACAATGGTTGAATTAATTTACACTCCCACCAACAGTGTAAAAGCATTCCTATTTCTCCACATCCTCCCCCGCATCTGTTGTTTTCTGACTTTTTAATGATCGCCATTCTAACTGGTGTGAGATGGTATCTCGTTGTGATTTTGATTTGCATTTCTCTAATGACCAGTGATGATAAGTGTTTTTTCATGTTTGTTGTCCACATAAATGTCTTCTTTTGAGAAGTGTCTGTTCGTATCCTTTGCTCACTTTCTGATGGGGTTGTTTTTTTCTTGTAAATTTGTTTAAATTCTTTGTAGATTCTGGATATCAGTCCTTTGTCAGATGAATAGATTGCAAAAATTTTCTCCCTTTCTGTAGGTTGCCTGGTCACTCTGATGATAGTTTATTTTGCTGTGCAGAAGCTCTCTAGTTTAATTAGATCCTATTTGTCAATTTTGGCTTTTGTTGCCATTGCTTTTGGTGTTTTAGACATGAAGTTTTTGCCCATGCCTATGTCCTGAATGGTATTGCCTAGGTTTTCTTCTAGGATTTTCATGGTTTTAGGTCTTACGTTTAAGTCTTTAATCTATCTTGAGTTAATTTTTGTATAAGGTGTAAGGAAGGGATCCAGTTTCAGTTTTCTGCATATGACTAGCCAGTTTTCCCAGCACCATTTATTAAATAGGGAATCCTTTTCCCATTGCTTGTTTTTCTCAGCCAAACCCCAATTCTTGACTTCCATGTATGCACAGTCTCAACACCACGTGAGAGCTGCCAAGGCTTGGGGCCTGCACCCTCTGAAACCATGGCCCAAGCTCTATGTTGGCCCCTTTCAGCCACAGCTGGAGCAGCTGGGACATAGGGCACTAAGTCCCTAGGCTGCACACAGCACGGGGACCCTGGGCAAGGCTCAGGAAATCATTTTCTCCTACGCCTCTGGGCCTGTGAAGGGAAGAGCTGCCCTGAAGCCCTCTGACATGCCCTGGAGACATTTTCCCCATTGTCTTGGGGATTAACATTCTGCTCCTTGTTACTTAGGCAAATTTTTGCAGCCAGGTTGAATTTCTCCTTAGAAAATGGATTTTTCTTTTTCTATCACATTGTCAGGCTGCAAATTTTCTGAATTAAATCATCTTCAAGTTCAAAGTTCCACAAATCTCTAGGGCAGTGGCAAAATGCCTCTAGTCTCTTTGCTAAAACATAACAAGAGTCACCTTTGTTCCAGTTCCCAACAAGTTCTTCATTTCCATATGAGACCACCTCTGCCTTGACCTCATTTTCCATATCGCTATCAGGCTTTTGGTCAAAGCCATTCACCAAGTCTCTATGAAGTTCCAAACTTTCTCACATTTTCCTGTCTTATTCTGAGCCCTCCAAACTGTTCCAAACTCTGCCTGTTACCCAGTTCCAAAGTCACTTCCACATTTTTTGGTATTTTTTCAGCAATGCCTCAATCTGTTCGTACCAATTTACTGTATTAGTCCATTTTCATGCTGCTGATAAAGACATACCTGAGACTGGGAAGAAAAAGAGGTTTAATTGGACTTACAGTTCCACATGGCCGGGGAGGCCTCAGAATCATGGTGGGAGGTGAAAGTCACTTCTTACGTGGTGGCAACAAGAGAAAATGAAGAAGATCCAAAAGCAGAAATTCCTGGTAAAACCATCAGATCTCGTGAGACTTATTCACTACCACAAGAACAGTATGAGGGAAACTGCCCCCATGATTCAAATTATCTCCCACGGGGACCCTCCCACAACACATGGGAATTATGGGAGTACAATTCAAGATGAGATTTGGGTGGGGATACAGAACCAATCCATATCATAACCCTATTTTGGCTTCTAAGTATTCAAATGAAAGGAAGATAAATCTTTAATTAAATGAAGAGTCAATTAGTGCAGCAAACTTTGTTGTTTTATTTTAAAAAATTGCCACAACCACCCCAACCTTAAGCAACCACCACCCTGTTCAGTCAGCAGCAATCAACATTAAGGCAAGACCCTCCCTCCACTAGCAAAAAGATTTTAAGTCCCTTAAGGCTCAGATGATTCTTTGCATTCTTTAGGAATAAAATATATTTCATTAAGTTATGTACTTTTTCAACATAATGCTATTGCCCACTTAATAGACTACAGCATAGTGTAACGTAACTTTTATATACTGGGAAACCAAAAAGTTATATGACTTGTTTATTGTAATATTCACTTTATTATGGTGGTCTGGAGCCAAACCCCTGGTATTTCCAAGGTATGCCTGCATGTACGTATATACTCACATAAACACACACACATGCAGGATTACAAGTAGTGGTGAATGGGCTTACTCATTAGTCATGGTGCTGAAAGGAACTAAAGAGAGAGCTTGAAAAATCAGAGTGAAATTACGTTCAGAAAAAGGCTTGTAGTTGGGTGAACCTATGGGGATTTATAAAACACACACACACAAAAAAAATAAAACCTACAAATGAGAGTCTAAATAACCAAGTTAAAAAAAAATAACTGCCAGTTGATGTCCACTAACCTCTGTCATTAGCCCTGTCAGTAATTAAAAAAAAAAAAAAAAAAAAAAAAACAGGTGCATGAAGAAAGAGAACATGGTGGTAGGAATGGATGTTACGCAGCCACAGCTTTTATTCACCAAGGCTATTCTAGCTATTGCTAATGCCACCTCCACAAACATCAGAGATTCCTCCAGGACATCAGGTACCAGTTATTTGAAATCAAGTTGATTACATTAGATTTATTTTACCCTTCAAGAGACAATGCTTTATCTCAACCCTTCAGCACATATTCTAACAATAAGTTTTTCCTTCCTATTTGCATGGCTTCATTCAGCACTGATATCTAAAGGCTGACAGATATTTGAGCCATTAACACAAGAGCCTGAATGATACTGCACTGAAACAAGGGCTCCTCTTTACAGCAAGTATGAAAGTAGACTCATGACTGTAGGATCTACTGGTCTTATGACATAATATGCTATTCAGGAGCTGACAACCCAACTGAGATATGCAACTTGGAGATGATACCTTGCATAGATGAGGTACCAACCTCCAGGACTCAGTGGATATCCTAGGTCAATAATTATTATTTGATACTTTGTCCTTAATAGGCAAAATAAATTGGTCAAAGGATCAGAGAGTGAAATAGAAGTGGCTCTGCTTACGACCATGTCCAGTGACCTGCTTGGGGAATTTGTGCTTTCGCCTCCCACAACTCCAAGCTCTGTGAGCTTACAGGGGTCCTAGTTTCCAGAAAGAAATTTCTTCCAAAAGGAGAATCCCATTTATTCTTAAGACATAGCTTGCACTTTGTAATGTTGGGCTCCTCATATGGATAGTCTAGAGACTATTAACAAGGATAGGGATCACCATTCTGTAGGTATAATTATTTTGATAATCAGGAGGAGGTAGAACTGTTGTTACCTGGTGTATGCAGGGAAGAGCATGTTTGGCACCCAAATAATACACTTTGGTGTGTCTTGATACTCTCTTGCCAGTTTCAAGGATAAATTGACTAATTTAGCAGCCATGGCCTGAGAAAGTGTGGTGACCAGGGGCTTAGACTCCCAGTTGCTGGGGTTCTGGGTCTCCTCATTAGAGTGTCTAGTTGATGGTGAGGGTAATAAAAAATTGGAAGAAAAAAAGGACATATTTAGTATCATCCAAAGACAAAAGCTCTGAAACTGCGCTTCTCACCTTCAGACAAAATAGAAAATAATATATATATATATTGCATATATATATATGTTGCAGTCAGAAGGGGTTATCAATTACTTACTAATCTTCCTTTTGTGTTCCTGTGAAAGGAAGTCAAGAAGGTTCCTGAAGTAAAAGTTCCTAAAATACATCAAATAAGACTGTGGACCCAAATGGAGTGAGGGCTGGATCATAGCAGATGCTTTTGGCAGACTACCCAGAAACTCCTCATTTACAGCACTGCATTACTTGCATTCCCCCAGCAGCTGGCATTATTGATTATTTTCAGCTCTCAGCTTACCCCTTCTCTAAAAATTACCCTCAACTGGTGAGCTACTTATTACACTCCTTTCCTAGGCACAGCTTGCAACTGATCATAATTCTGGAACGTAATAGCCTGGCCCTTTTGCCTCATTGCAGAAAGTCTGAATGGTCAGTTCAGCTCCAGAGCTCTGTAAAATAACTTAAAATCCTTCTTGTGACTGTGTAGCAATTTATTATGCCCTCTACCCAATCCTGTTTCCTCTTGAGGAAATAGGTGTTGATTTTGAGAGTACATTCCCGTAAATACTCTACACACAAATCTGTATCTCAGAGTTTATTTCCCAATAATGTACAACATCCTGCAATGGAAAATAGAAAAGAATGAAGGAAAAAGAGTAAGAGAAATACGGTGGCTTGAAACAATGGATTCAAAAATCCAATCTGCCTGGTATTGCAGATTGTCAACCCCAAAGCAGATGCTGAAATGAAAATTAGCATGCATGGTATTTATTAGAGATAAACAGTTTAGCAGGAGCATATTTGACCTGTCAAAATTGTCCCGTCGTTGCTGGGATAGCCTGTTCCTTGTACACTTTACACTTGCCTTAATTAGTCACTGGATGTGGGCAGCTCCAGAATGAGTGTTTCCTTGGACAAGGCAGCTCTGTTACCTAAGACAAACTGTGAAGAAGCTGTCAGCTGGAAGGTGTCTGCTGACCACACTCTCAGCACTTGGGGCAACAAATCTTTCTATGAAGAGGGATCTGGGGAGGGCATCTCCGTGTCTGCCACATTACACAATGAATCAAAGATCTAAAATGTATCAGGTTTTACATTGGGCAGGTACTTGATCTCTTGAATTTTTTTTTATATAAAGTAGAAAAACAATAGTACCTATCTTTTTCATAATTGTGTGAATAGAATTAAGTAGCACATGGAAAGTAATTTCCATAGGCCTGTTTGGAAGGTGCTTAAAATTGGTTAGGCTGTTGTTGTGGTTATGATTATTAAATAATAAATATAACTTTGTAGTTCACTAGTTAGAAAAGTTGAAAGAGGGATGAAGACATTCCTTTCTGTTTTACAGAAACTTGTCAAGAGCATAACAGCCATTCAGATTAAGTTTAGGGGTTCCTGGGTGATCACATGTCAGCATTAACTGGAGGGCTCTTTAAAATACAGTTTTGAAATTCTTTCCACATAAATTCTAACACTTTAAGTTTGGGTAGGTATTTAGGAGACTTTATGTGGGAAAAAAAAAAAAAACAAAACACGGCCAGGAGTGGTGGCTCACGCCTGTAATCCCAGCACTTTGGGAGGCCGAGGAGGGTGGATCATGAGGTCGGGAGTTCAAGACTAGCCTGGCCAACACAGTGAAACCCCTTCTCTACTAAAAATACAAAAAATTAGCCGGGCGTGGTGGCAGGTGCCTGTAATTCCAGCTACTCTGGAGGCTGAGGCAGGAGAATCGCTTGAACCCGTGAGGTGGAGGTGGCAGTGAGCAGAGATCGTGCCACTGCACTCCAGCCTGGGCGACAGAGTGAAACTCCGTCTCAAAAAAAAGAAAAAAAAGAAAAAATAAAAAAACTTACCAAGTAATTGACCATGTTTAGATACTACCGTTTTACCGGAACAAATGTCCTGTAACCAATTAAGTGTTTGGTTTCCACCGTTTTCCATGGGAACAGCATATTTAGTGAGTGAAGTGTACACAGAACTCCTTAGATTCTCTTCTCACTTTACCATTTTACTATTCCCATGTGCAAATCAACCCACAATTTCTTATCTTACTTACAAATGGTTACGGTAACATTGTTTTATATCTCAGTGATGCTACATAGTTTTCCCAAACTCAAGCCAATCCTATGAAAAGGACTATGTAATACTCTAAAGCCTACTATTTTCTAACTGTTATCCATTTTCCACTTTCTGTTACTGTTTTTTTTTGCCTGAACTCTGTTTGGGATCATTATTTAAGCAAGGATGACTGTAACCTTTTATCAGAGAATTAGAACTACAAGTTAAATATTCCCTATCCAAAATACTTGAGACCAGAAATGTTCTGGATTTCGGATTTTTTGAATTTTGGTATATTTGCATATACATAATGAGATATCTTGGCAATGAAACCCATCTCTAAACACAAAATTTATTTATGTTTCATATATACCTTAAACACATAGCCTGGAGGTAATTTTATATAATATTTTAAATAATTTTGTTTATGAAACAAAATTTTGACTGTTTTGACTGCAACCCAGCACATGAGGTCAGGTGTGGAATTTTCCACCTGTGGCATCATCTCAGCACTCAAATAGTTTTAGATTTGGGAGCATTTTGGATTTCAAATATTTGTATTATAACTCAACCTGCAATAAATTTTGTATCTCAGGACCAACTGCGCACTGATCCTGCTATTCTGATGGCCCAGCCTCACCGCACCATAAATACCTATTTTTTTTTAGAACTACCTGACTATTGTATGAGCTACAAACAAACCTTGAAAATATGCTCCTTCGTTATTGAAGAATCTAGGTGAGATGAGAACTAAGACAAAAGTTAAATTATCAAGTGCCGCCATTCCAGACTTCATCTAAGTGTTTCATGAAAGTACTGCTTTCTAATCCAACCAAATTCACTTTATTTGAACTCATTTAGAAGATCCTTTTTTGGTATAGTCCTTTGAATATCTATGTGTACAGAACAGAAGGTAGAACTGTTACACAGAACAGAGGAAATATCATAATCTAAATTATTTGTGTGCAAAGCTCTTTAAATACTATCAAGTTTGAAAAGAATACAAACTCAATTTCTGTCTCTATCAATGGAAGCAAGACTGCCTTTTTGCCTACAAACAACTGCGTATGCAAATTGAAAGAATATAAGAAACTTTAAATAATTTTACCACTTGCAAAAGGCATTTTTGAATATGCCCATTATATGCAGACTAATAAAAATAAGCATTTTGTTGCTATGATCTTAGTTTTCTTAATCAAGTAATATGCCTTCTATTCATTAGCTCTACATTGATACATTTACTGTCACTAATTGTAGAGTATTTCTGAAGGGAGTCTTCAGTATATATTTTTTAATTCCCAAATCACCCATAGATATTTTTAATACAGATTACTGCATACCTTAAATTTCATATTCTGATTTAATATAGTTTAAAGTGCTTTAGTGTGATGCAGCAATTTTTAATAATATTATTAGCTATTAGAGAGAATTTTTATTTTCGAAATTACCCTCTTACCATTTGTCAATTTCTCATGGTTTCTTAGACTAGGTCTGTCAATTTCAGGCGAATTGACATTACACTGACACACATAACCATGCTTTGCAACATCTCGTTACTCATTTTTGTTTTGAAAAGATTCAGATCTTTGATTTAATCATCTTTTTTCTCAAAGTCAGTTTTTATATATAGGCACAAATGTGACTGATCTGATTTTATGAGAGGAAAATTGAAACACTGGAAAGAGCAGTGGCTTAGAGCGTCACTAACATTATATTAATTCTGGTTTCAACATTAACTAGATGTGTTCAGTTGGTGCAGCTGCTAAACTTCTGGAAGGTGTGTCTTCATCTTCAAGTTGGGGTTGTTAATACACAACTAGCACGTTGTGGTGATAATTAAATGAGAAATATATAAAGTGCTTAGCGAAGTTATTGTCAATATTAAAACGATTGAACTATTATGCGGGTTTCATTAGAAGTTTGTGGATGATAAGCACCTGTAGGCAATATTTCACACCACATCCTCAGTATGAAGTAAGACAAAACAACAAAAACTTTACCAAAGAAGGAACAAATATATTTATAAGTGGAAAGCTTCTAAGGAAAATTGTATTGACTCATTACCTAGAAGATATGGAACTAAGTGGCATTTACATGCTTATTCACACATTGATTCACCCAAAAAAAATTATTATTGGCTAGAAAGAGAAAATAGATCAAAGTGGATCTAGGCATAAGACTTAAAATGCCAGTATTTGTAATGACCAGGTACAGGGCATAAATCTTCAAAGTAAGAAGGGAGTAAAGAGACCAAAAAAAAAGGAGAGTTCTTTTCAAGGAGAAGGCTATATCAGAGTGTGAAAAATAGTTTGAATGAAGTAAGGGTAGTGGAGTCAGAAGACAGCTAAAATGTATTATTTGTGTGTAGTAACAGAAAAACAGTAATCTGGGTGGAGAAGAGGCCTATATTAGAGTCTATTGAAATGCAAATGTCGGTAGAGAATATGTATACAATGGCTAGGAATGAATAAAGAGAGATAGGGGAAGAAATAGAAATAAGGACACCAGCTGGATTTTGAATTGAGAGGGAGATATGCACCCAGTAGCAATCCATTCAATTAATGAACAGTGTTCTGGAGCTAGTTGCATGACAGTATGGGGGACATGTAAGATAGCCAAAAACGTTGATAGCTAATATTTATTCGTAAGTTATTTTTATGTGAATACACTATGTTGGACATTTTATTATTTTCATCATGTATGGACTCTCTTATTTTGACAGTAATTTTATACAGCAGGCCATGGCAAGATAATGTGGTGTATATACACTATGGAATACTATGCAGCCATAGAAAAAGAATAAAATAGTGTCCTTTGCAGGAACATGGATGCAACTGAATGACATTATCCCATGTAAACTAACACAGGAAGAGAAAACCATATACTGCATATTCTCACTTATAAAAAGTGGGAGCTAAATAGTGTATATTTATGGACATAATGATGGCAAAAATAGACACTGAACATTACCAGAGGAAGAAGTCAGGAGTGAGGCAAGGGATGAAAAACGAACTACTGGGTACACTCAGTACCCAGGTGACATGATCATTTGTACTCCAAACCTCAGCATCACAAAATATACCCAGCTAACAAAGCTGAACATGTACCCCTTTAAGATAAAAGTTGAAAAAAAAATTGATTTCCCCAAGTAAAAAAAATAGACAAAGGACTTGAATAATAGACATTTCTTCAAAGAAGATATACTAATGGCCAAAAACATGAGACAGTGTTCAACATTATTTGCCATGTGAGAAAAGCAATTTAAAATTGCAAGTATGTAGCACATCACACCCAGTGTGATGACTACAATTAAAAAACAGAAAAAGGGGCTGGGCACAGTGGCTCATGCCTGTAATCCCAGCACTTTGAGAGGCCAAAGCAGGTGGATCACCTGAGGTCAGGAGTTTGAGACCAGCCTAGCCAACATGGCGAAACCCCATCTCTACTAAATATAAAAAAAATTAGCCAGGTGTGATTGTGGGCTCCCATAATTCCAGCTACTCAGGAGGCTGAGGCAGGAGAATCTCTTGAACCCAGGAGGCAGAAGTTGCGGTGAGCTGAGATCACACCACTCCACTCCAGCCAGGGCGACAGAATGAGACTCCATCTCAAAAAAAAAAAAAATTGAGAAAATGGAACTCTTGTACATTGATAATGGAAATTTAAGGTGGTTTAAGAGTGTAGAAAACAGTTTGGTCGTTCTTCAAAAGTTAAACATAGAATTAACACTGCACTTAGGAGTACAATTCCTCAAAGCATCATACCCCAAAGAATTAAAAACTAATATTAAAAAAGACTTGTACACACATATTTATAGCAGAACTATTTGCAAGGGCCAAAAGATAAAAAGAGCCCATATATCCCTCAATAGATGAATGGGTAAATTATGGTACATAGATATAATGGAATATTATACAGCCACAAAGAGAAATGAGGAATGATACATACCAAAAAAATGGATGAGCCTCAAAAATATTATGCTAAGTAAATAAAGCCAAACACAAAAGTTTACATATTGTATGATTCCATTTATATGAAATATATATGAAAATTAAACCCACAGAAACAGAATGTCGATTGGTGATTGACAGGAGCTGGGTGGAGGGGAGAATATGGAGCAACTCCTTAGTGGGTGTGGTGTTTCCCTTTAGAGTGATAAAAAAAATGTGGGATTAGATAGAAGTGGTGTTTGTGTCTTTAATAACATGTCTTTAATCATATGAAAATAGTTCGTTTTATGTTACATGAGTTTCACCTCAATACAAAAATGAAAAGATAAATTGATTACTTTGGATTTAAGATTTCCTTTTTAGACATGGAAATTGTACAGATACAATATCAGGTAGCCATTTGCAACACTTTGCCACTCGGCTTATATGGTCTTACTGGATGGAGTGCGTTCCATTAGGTTATAGGGATTTCAACAGGAGGGTGGAAGAGGTCATTTTTTAGTGTGAAACATGTTTAGGAAAGGGTCATTGAGGGATGCTGATAAAAACAAAGACCAGGACTTCATTCAAATTTCTTCATAATTTTAATGAGCTTCTCCTAGTTGTAGGTAGAGGAAATTTTTTATTTACACATGAGCTTTCCTTGGGAAAGGGTTTTCTTGATAATCGATCTGCCCTCTACCGCAGCTCCCGGGGATATGTTCTCAGGCTTCCTCCCGTGTGTGTGTGTGTGTGTGTGTGTGTGTGTGTGTGTAATTTTGAAAACTCTGCCTGTCTACTTCACATGAAAGCTTGAAGGCAATGTATAATCAGGATCAAAGCGAGATTCAGTGGTTGGAAGCCCCTTGTGTGTGAGGGTTTCATTATTCCAACGTTCAAACTACAGCATATTTTACATGGCCTCCATTTACTGACATTAGTTCTCTGGTGCCAGCCTTCATTTTTCATTTCAAAAACAGAATATAACTTTTTAACTGGGATTTTTTTGTTAGGTGGCTCAATCCAGTAGGGAAAGAGTATTCTCATTTATTTAAAAGAATGGATTTTTATTAACGTACTTGTGAGGAAATGTTTTACATTTGCAATGTATCAATAAAATATAATTCAGTTTCTAAACAGATATTTCACACTGACTCTCACTGTGGGGCAGGAAAAGGGAGTGATTGTATCAGCACTGTTCCCATTAATAGCACAGGGATAAAACCACAGTTTTTTATCTTTGTCACAAAATCAAACTTAAGGCAACAATTATTTTGAATGCCACTTCTATTATTCTTATTTGAAGGCAAAGAAATTTCTTCCAAGGTCTTCCAGGGAAAGAAAGTGTCAGATGCCAAAATCTAAACCTATGGCAGAATACAAAGAAAAAAAGTTTTCAACAGCATCCACTTACACTCTTGATGAAAATATCCTTTGGTGGACAATCTTATTTGAAGCTGTATCAATTTAGATTTAATGGAATCTTTTCTTTTAATCAATTGTTATAAATATATAAGCATATGTGATACAATTCCTGAATCTCAAGGACAAAGTCTATGTTGTATTAATCTTGTATTTCTGGGATCTAGACTAGCTCTTGTATTTCTTGGATCTAGACTAGCACTTAATTCATCTCCATAGAGTCATTGAATATACATTAATGAAAAAAATGAACTGAAGTTTTCCTGTTATAGTATCTCTATCTCTAGAATACTCTTTGTGTTTTTATCTGTATTATCACCAAGTTAAATTTTACTTTTGGTCACTCCTCACCACCTTTTTTACTTGAAGTACATTTTAAGTACAGATCGCATCTGGTATAATTGGCCATCACAATTTGATGTACTTTAACAATCCAACTTGATTTGCTCCTATTCTTCATCTTGAGCTTTGTCTTTTCTACTCAAGTCTTTTCAGTGCCCCCGTCTGGTTTCAGTTTTCTGTTTTTTTCTCATTCTGCTTATCCACAGAGGACATTTGTATAAACCACAGGATATTTAGACCAAAAAAACTTAATGTAAAAACTATAATGTAAACAGCTTGCCTGACAGAATGTTCTCTAGACAATGGATTCTTGATTCTAAAAGTTAAGGTCTTCTCCAGTCTAATTATCACTATGTAACTATAATTAAAAGGACTATTTTCATTATTTTTATGTCAATGTGCATGAACCAACTTTGGTATCTGTGTATCCTCTGTTGCAACAGTGTTCATCAGTTTCTTGTCCACAAACACACGTTTGTGTGCATAAAAGAGGCATAAAAGGGATGGTTTTAATGTCCATTAGGCTAGATTATAAAAAGCTGAACCTTTGCTCATCTCTTGTCGATGAATGACAGGAACTTAATAAAACACGCTACTGACATCTCCCACTTTGCAGTGCCAACTACAGTAGATTGGGGATTATACTAAGTCTTGTTTTTACTTTGTTATAAATGGTATTTTAAAGTTACAGAAATTAAAGACCAAAAGGTCCACATTTCTTTCATCAACTAATCAATTTTTAGATTAAAAAAAATTTTTTTTTGGCCTCAGCACTCCTTTACATTCTTAAAAAATATTGAAGACTCCAAAGAGTTTCTGATCATGGGGACTATATCTATCAACATTTACCATTTTAAATATTAAGTATAAAATACAGGTATCACTAATTTTAATGTTATTATTTGTCTATTTGTTTATTAAAATAACAATGAACCATTTCATATTAACATAAAATAGTCTTATAGTCTTATGAAAGATTCCTTTTTTTTGGCAGGGAGGGGCAGGGTCTCCCTGTCACTGCCCAGACTGAAGTGCAGTGATGTGATCATTGCTCACCGCAGCCTCGACTTCTGGGTCTCATGTGATTCTCCCATCTCAGCCTCCTGAGTAGCCGGGACTGCAGGCATTCACCACCATGTCGGGCTAAATTTTTGTATTTTTAGTGGAGATAAGGTTTGACCATGTTGACTAGGCTAGTCTCCAACTCCTAAGCGCAAGCAATCAGCCTTGGCTTCCCAAAGTAGTGGAATTACAAGCATAAGCCGTTGTGCCCAGCCAAAAGAAAGATTACTTTTTAACAAAGTATTAAGAAGAGTGGCTTCTAAAAACAATGTTTAGATATTTAATAGGTAGATTATTTTATCTGCTTCTGTGTTCAAGTTGTTGTTGAACAAGTTGTTGATATATATATGTAATATATATAATACATATATAATACATATATATGTAATATATATATAATATATATATACATGTTAGATATACATAAAACACTACAAAGTACCACCAAAGTAGAAAGAAAACAAGAAAAGATAAAACTCAGTAAGAAAATAGGCCGGGCGCGGTGGCTCACGCCTGTAATCCCAGCACTTTGGGAGGCCGAGGTGGGTGGATCAGGAGGTCAGGAGATCGAGAACATCCTGGCTAACGCCGTGAAACCCCGTCTCTACTAAAAATATAAAAAATTAGCCTGGCGTGGTGGCAGGTGCCTGTGGTCCCAGCTACTGGGGAGGCTGAGGCAGGAGAATGGCGTGAACCCGGGAGGCGGAGCTTGCAGTGAGCCGAGATCAGGCCACTGCACTCCAGCCTGGGCGACAGAGCGAGACTCGGTCTCAAAAAAAAAAAAAAAAAAAAAAAAAAACTCAATAAGAAAATATTAAAAATGTTTCTCTGATACTGGAAAACTCAGAAGATGTTATCTTCTTAATTTCAAATACATAATTTTGTGAAGGTTTTAAGGCTCAAGAATTATTTTCTGCCTGAATTTGCATTTTCCAACTGTTGCTTGTAACAGCCCTGTCTGTTAACCCAGACATCTTGTATAATTTTGTCTCATAGGTATGTAGGGAATCTGATTCTTATAGAATCCCAGATTACCGGAGATCAGTTTTGAGTTTTACAAACCCCAGATAACTTAACTACATCATAATCCGTGTGGACTTTCTCCTGTCAACAAAGAACACTTTATATTGCTAAGAAATATTTTCGTTCTTTATTGGCCAAAAGTTTTCTATTTACTTCTTTCTTTTGCAGTCCCAATCTTCTGCTCAATTACTTGTATACCTTTAATAAAAAGTAATAAATTATTCCCTTTTTCTTTTGTTTTTTATAATTTCAATTTTTATTTTAGATTCAGGGGTACATGTGTAGGTTTGTTACGTGGGCATATTACATGACATTTCAGTTTGGGGTACAAATGATCCTATCATCCAGGTAATGGGCCTAATACCCAGCAGGTAGTTTTTCAGCCCTTTCGCTTCCGCATTTCCCCTCAGCAGTCTCCAGTGTATGCTGTTTTTATCTTTATGTCCATGGGCGTCCAAAGCTTAGTTCCGCGTGTGAGAACATTCAGTATTTGTTTTTTTGTTGTGTGTTAATTCATTTGGAGTAATGTCTTTCAGGCCGGGCGCGGTGGCTCACGCCTGTAATCCCAGCACTTTGGGAGGCCGAGGCGGGCAGATCATGAGGTCAGGAGATCGAGACCACCCTGGCTAACGCGGTGAAACCCCGTCTCTACTAAAAAATACAAAAGAATTAGCCGGACCTGGTGGCGGGCGCCTGTGGTCCCAGCTACTCGGGAGGCTGAGGCAGGAGAATGGCGTGAACCCGGGAGGCGGAGCTTGCAGTGAGCCCAGGGGGCGGAGCTTGACGTGAACCCAGGGGGCGGAGCTTGACGTGAACCCAGGGGGCGGAGCTTGAAGTGAACCCAGGGGGCGGAGCTTGCAGTGAGCCGAGATGGCGCCACCGCACTCCAGCCTGGGCGACAGAGCGAGACTCCGTCTCAAAAAGAAACAAACAAACAAAAAGAACAAAAAATGAATACTGTCCTTCACCTGCGTCTATGTTGCTGCAAAGGACATGATTTTGTTCTTTTTTTTTTTTTTTTATGGCTGTGCGTAGTATACTGTGGTGTATATGTACATTTTCTTTATCCAGTTCACAATTCATGGGCACCTAGGTTGATTCCATGTCTTTGCTATGATGAATAGTGCTGTGATGAACATGTGAGTGAATGTATCTTTTTGGTAGAACAATTTATTTTCTTTTGGATATATACCCAGTAATGGGATTATTGGGTCAAATGGCAGTTCTGTTTTAAGTTCTCTGATAAATCTCCAAACTGCTTTCCGCAGTGGCTGGACTAATTTACAGCCCCACCAACAGTGTAGAAACGTTCTCTTTTCTACACAGCCTCACCTGCATCTCTTGTTTTTTGATTTTTTAGTAATAGCCTTTCTGACTGCTGAGAGATGACATCTCATTGTGGTTTTGATTTGCATTTCTCTGACGATTAGTGATTTTGAGCGTTTTTTCACGTTTCTTGGCCCCTTGTATGTCTTTTTTTGAGAAAAGTTTGTTCATGTCTTTGGTCTATCTTTTAATGGGGGCTATTTGGTTTGTGCTTGTTGAATTGTTTAAATTTCTTATAGATTGTGGATGTTAGCCCTTTGTCAGACGAATAATTTGTGAATACTTGCTCCCATTCTGTAGGCTTTTTGCTCTATTGATAGTTTCCTTTGCTGTGCAGAAGCTGTTTAGTTTAATTAGGTTCCAATTGTCAATCTTTGTTTTTGTCACAATTGCTCTTTAGGGCTTCATCATACATTATTTGCCAAGGCCAATGTCCAGAATGATATTTTTTAGGTTGCCTTCTCAGATTCTTATAGTTTGAGATCTTGCCTTTAACACTGCTTTTAACTTGAGTCACAAATCCCGCACCTATATAGCGATTCTAAACAAACTGAAGAGAGAGTAAATGGGACAGAAAATTCATGTTCTGCTATTTACTTGTCTCTTTTTTAAGTCCCAGCTAACAGTTTGTATCCTTTTACTGCTAGCTTAATTCTTATCATTGTGGAGATAATAACAAAATTTAAAAGAATTTAATAAAAAATACTCCGTAAAATTCTAACAGCTCTATATTCATTTCAAAACACTTTTCTATCCATTTCACTGCTTTCTCACAACAATCCTGTAAGGCAGGGAAGATGTCATTACCCTTGAGACAAGTGGAGTACCTGGCTTAAAGAGTGACAGAGAATTAGGTGTGTCACAGACGTAACACAATATTCTGCTAAGCAAGGTAAGGAGCCTACATAAAATCACCAAAAGTTTGCTCTATGGCCTCCTATAACAAGAAAAATAAGTGAAACATGCTATGGTTTGAATCTTTGTCTGCTCCAAAGATCATGTTGAAACTTAATCCTCAATGTGGCAGTATTGAAAGGTAAGGTGTTAAGGGGTGATTGGGTCATGAGGGCTCTGCTCCCATTAATGGATTATTCATGAATTAATGATTAATGGATGAATGGGTTAATGGGTTATCATGGGAGAGAAACTGGTGCCTTTATTAGAAGAGGAAGAGAGACTTGAGCTATCTAATGACTAAATAAACAAAATAAGTTTGTTTGTTATTTGAGCCACATTCTGCCAGTTTTTCCTATGTGATCCCTGTACCACTTTATGACTCTGTAGAAAATCCCCATCAGCAAGATGGCCCTCACCAGATACAGCCCCTGGGCCTTGGACTTCTCAGTCTTTATAACTGTATGAAATGAATTTATTTTCTTTATAAATTACCCCATTTCAGATATTCCATTATAAGCAACAGAAAATGACTAAGATGAAGTGTGACAGAGGAAAATTTTTGTGGACTAGGAATCAGGAGACTTGGTACCCTACCTATATGCAGCCATTTACTATGTGACTCAAGCCAGTCACTTTACTTCGTTAATTTTTTTAATCTATAATAAAGTAAGATGATGGTGATTACCTTGACTGTCTCACAAGGTATGTGAAAAGTGTTCTGAAAGCCAGTATAGTTATCCCTCCCCACTCTCTTCCAAAAAAACCCTGATTTGAGGCATTTGCTAATTTCAATCATGTACATAGTACCAATTCATAGATACTATTGAAATATAATAAAATAATAAAGGAGTGATTAATTTTGTCTTTTATCTTTGTTTCTAATGTATTTTTATTGTACATTTATATAATTTAGATTTTACTAGTGGCAGATTTAATGACCAGCTAGCAAAATTCCTAAAAATTTAATAATCAGCTCTCATATGACAGCTGTAGCCAGTCTCACCCTATTCCCTTCCAGGAGACTAGGACTGTTTCTGCTCGTCTCTGTGTTTCTAGAAGCTTCTTTCCCAAGTCTGTTTCCCTAAACAAAGCTATAGTCTTCATATTTTCATTTTGTCTTGCTCTGTATATGGGTGTCTACCAAGAACCCTTGTGTCTTGGGTTGTTAGTCAACACTTTAGAGGTTACCCAGAATGCCGGGGTGGGTGGCCAGCCAATCTCTCCAGATCACTGACACTGCCTTTTCTTGTTAGATCATAGATAAACCTGGGCTTAAGTGACCTGCTGACAATCACACTTTGGTAATGACAGAGCTGGAGCTACATTTAAGTCTGGTAACTCCTACATCCTTAGGCCAGGGATTGCAGCTGGGGCAATGAGAGCCAGAGCCCAGTGGGGGAATGAGACATAACTCCTCTGTCACTCCTTTCCAATCTGTGGCCTTGCTTTCCTCATGGTGTCTCCTTTATCACCATTTTGTAGTTATTTCCAGCCTCCTGATAACTTTCAGAGCCAATAGTGTCCTTTTTTGAGGTGAATAATCCATGATAATGAATATTGATTTCCAGTGAGTTCGACCAAGATGAAGTGTGTTGCTCTAGATTAGCCATATGTGTCCCTTAATAGCTTGAGAAAAGGCTCTCAGAGCATCTAATTTAAGCACCAGAGAGAAATAAAAAAAGGAACTGAGTTGCTAGGATACCTGGGTGAGCATTTGTTTTATTATCAAGTCTGTAAGTGTAAAACAAACAATGACAATAGCTACCTCTAAGTAATACAAAATGCTTGCTAAAAAGTGACAAAAAGAAAAAGAAAACAGACAATCTTCAGAGAAAGAAGACTTTGCTTCTTGGCATACATCAAGTTTGATGAAATGCTTATTATTTTTAACTAGTCTTTCAGAAGCTTAAAAACTAGCAGCAGTCATGACACCCTGTAATTATAATAGCAAATGTGATCCTGGATAGAATTGCTCCATTGTTGTTTTCTTGCTCTTTGTGTGTACTGAAGAGACAAAGAAGTCTTTTCCATGGCAATGATCCACCAATGACCAGGGTTCGTTTAGGTTTTTGTCTATGGAAGGCTAGGGCCACTGATATATTCAGTCAACTCCACAGAAGAACAATAATCCATTAAACCTGTTTTTGAAGCCCAGTAAACAAACTGTTTGATTTACCAGTATGCTTTGCTAAATTTTGATAATGTAATTAAGTAAAAATATTTAAAAATTATCTTTATAGGCCCCAAATTATGGCTGGAAGCATGAAAGTTACATACATAATAAAATAAAAGCTTTCCTGCAACAGGTCAAAATGTTTTTTGCCACACAGACCAGTGAGGTACCCCAATCTTGATACTGGCATCTGGGAATCAGGGTGTGGAAGGTTAAGTGGCAGGTAAGAAAAATCAGAATAGAGAACAACTTAAAGGAAAAACCTTATCCATGAGAGTAGGCAGATTAAAAACAAAACCGGAATCAATTTGTCATTGTGTTTAAGAGGTGATTTTAGCATTGTGTAACATATGATTAATAAGCTCAAAGTTCAAAACCTGTTTAGTGGAGACATTGAGATGGAGAAGTGCCACAAAAATAGTGAAGAATTACAACACCATACTTTTCCTCTACACATAAATGAGCACACACATTTTTCTCTCACAGGATTGTAGTGGTCTGATTTGTATAGTAGGTGAGCTACATCTAAAAACAAAAGAGAAATACTCTTGTGGTGGAAAAACAAAGACTTATGGAGATGGCATTATTAGACAAGAGTGGACATCAAATACTGGATAGTATATGCAAATATTGAAGTACTGGAAAAAAATGAAGGTCGATTAAGGCCGGCCCTTATAGGTTTTATAGGAAATGAAGCCTTGACTTGGGTTATTCGATATAAAAAGAATCTAGATCAGTGCAGAGAGGAATGGAGAACTTTGCAGTTTTAAAACCATTGTTTTGTTGTGATAGAAAATTTTCAGTCCATAATGGTAACAATGTATCTTTTTCTTGCAAAGCAAATGGTAACCAAATCATAAACGCTTGACATCTTTCTCACCACTTTTCTCTTGAGACCTCAATCTTGATTTGAATGGACTGTGATAAATCTTCAGAGAAAAATTTTACTGCCAAACCCCTTCAGGCTTGCTCTTGCCAAGTGAATTATTAGTTTAGAGAAGGGCATAGAATTATTATTTTTTCTTCTTCATTAATTCATGGAGAGCAGTATTCTACATTCTTGTCAGCCATGATTTTTTTTAATTTCCTGGATTGACCTAATAATGTCAATGTTTAACTATTCTTCTTAATGTCTTCACAAAGTATCAGGCATTTGGAAGGTGCACATTTTTACGAAAGAATATATTACAAGCTATGAGATCATGATGCAAATGACAACTTAAAAAATCAAGATAGTTTCCAGCTTCTAAATCCTGATATGTCTCAAGTATGCTCTGGAATATAGCTTTACTATGAAAGGGATTCTAGCCAAAATCTTATCACCAATATTATATTGTTCCAGTTTTCACTAGCCCGGGTCTACAGGATCAATGATGGTTTATCTTTCTTGGCTCCTACTGTAAGAAGAAGCATTGATATCTTCTTTTATTAAAATTCATTCCTCTCCATAAATTTTGATTTAGTACATATTGCTATAATGCCTTACAGTCTGTTTTTTCCTTCTGTATTCCTTCCTCTTCTGCTCTGTGCAACCTAATCTCACCTCACTATTGTGTAGGAAATGGTAGCTTAAGAGTGAGAGAATCAGGTAGTCTCCAGCATGTAGTTTTCACCTGATACTTCTTCATTCTCAGAAATACCACAACCTTCTAAGTGCAAATATGGTCACTTCTCTCATATTCTGCTCTAAGTCTTTTGCATGCAGACTCAGTCTTCAAACTATCCCCAATGATGTGAACTGTGTGCCCTGAAAAACCAAGACTAGAGAGGTTTTGCAAGTGTGAGGCATCCAATTTCGATGATACAGGATGAAAACAAAGATTGAAGATCAGTCTCCTATTACTTTGATTATTGGCTCAGGAGGCTCAAGAACACATACCAGTGGAAGCTTTCGTAGAAGGTCTTCCTGCTTCGGACTTTATGGTGTTAAATATATGCAACCCTGTGAAAGAATTCTAAAAGCTCAATTAGATAGATAGATAGATAGATAGATAGATAGATAGATAGATAGACAGACAGATGATAGAGTTTTCTTGAGATATAATTCACATGATTCCTATATATCAATGGTTTTGATATATTCACAGAGTAATGAGACTTGTCACTACTATCAATTTTATGCCATTTTCATCACCCATAGAGAAACCCCTTACCATTTAGTTGTCTGCCTCCAGCCCCTCCACACCCCTAGCCATAGAAAAACACTAATATACTTCTGTCTCTTTAAATTTGCCTACTCTGGACATTTTATATAGGTAGGCATATATTCTAACAATATGTTTTCTTCTGTGACTGACTTCTTTCACTTAGCGTAACATTTTCAAAGTTCGTCTGTGTTGCATAGATCCCTAGTTACTTCCAGTCTCCCAACTATTCATCCACTAGATGTTGGTAAGAGGATATTTCTAAACTACAAATGTTTTCTTACATACCTTTAGAGGCTAACTGTCCACTGACTAGAGAAAAAACTCCAATTTGTTTGGTGTTCCAGACCAGGTGCTTTTTTAAAAAATCATATTAACCATTTTAAGTGTACAGTTCAGCAATACATTCACATTGTCGTGCAATCAATCTTCATATTTTCTCATCTTGTAAAACTGAAACTCTATGCTCATTAAACCACAACTTCCTATTCCCCACCCCCCATAACTCTTGGCACCTGCCATTTTACTTTCAGTCTCTATTAATCTCTAGGTACTTCATGTAAGCAGAAAAATGTAGTAGAATAATGTAGTAGTTGTCTTTTGTGTGCCTGGCTTATATCACTTAGCATAACGTCCTTACAGTTCATCTGTGTTAGAGCATGTCTCAGAATTTTCTTTTTCTTAAGGTTGAATAATATTCCATTGCAAGGTGTATACCACAATTTGTTGATCCCACTCATCCATCAATAGATATTTTGGTTGATTCTGCGTTTTTGCTATTATGAATAATGATGCTATGAACATGAGCGCACAAATATCTCTTTGACACTTCACTTTTAATAGTTTTGAATATATATCCGTAAGTGGAATTGTTGGATCTTATGATAATTCTTTTTTTAAGAATTTTTTTTGAGAAACCGCCATACTGCTTTTCATAGGGGCTATACCACTTTGCATTTCACTAAAAGAGAACAAGTGATCCAATTTTCTCCTCATCCTAACCAACGTTTTCTTTGGTCATTTTCTTTTCTTTTTTTTTTTTTTTTTATTTCTGCAGAAGCCATCTGACTTAGTTCACTTCCTGTTGCTATAACTGAATATCTGATACTGGGTAATTTATAAATAAAAAGAATCTATTTCTTACATTTCCAGAGGCTGGGAATCCAAGCTTGAGAAGACATACCTGGTGAGGACCATGTTGCTGGTGAGGACTCTCTGCAGGGTCCTGAGGCACTGCAGGCCATTGCATAGTGTGATGCTTCCTCACTCAGGCCCCTCTCTCTCTTCTTATAAAACCACTAATGTTCTGACCTCATGATCTCATCTAATCTTTTTTTTCTTTTTTACATAATGATTTATTTTTCTTTGGGGAGATACCCAGTAGCGGGACTGCTAGATCCAATGGGAGTTCTATTTTTAGTTCTTTTTTTTTATTATTATACTTTAAGTTTTAGGGTACATGTGCACAATGTGCAGGTTTGTTACATATGTATACATGTGCCATGTTGGTGTGCTGCACCCGTTAACTCGTCTTTTAGCATTAGGTATATCTCCTAATGCTCTCCCTCCCCCCTCCCCCCACCCCACAACAGGCCCTGATGTGTGATGTTCCCCTTCCTGTGTCCATGTGTTCTCATTGTTCAATTCCCACCTATGAGTGAGAACATGCAGCGTTTGGTTTTTTGTCCTTGCGATAGTTTGCTCAGAATGATGGTTTCGAGCTTCATCCATGTCCCTACAAAGGACATGAACTCATCCTTTTTTATGGCTGCATAGTATTCCATGGTGTGTATGTGCCACATTTTCTTAATCCAGTCTATCATTGTTGGACATTTGGGTTGGTTCCAAGTCATTGCTATTGTGAATAGTGCCGCAATAAACATACATGTGCATGTGTCTTTATAGCAGCATGATTTATAATCCTTTGGGTATATACCCAGTAATGGGATGGCTGGGTCAAATGGTATTTCTAGTTCTAGATCCCTGAGGAATCACCACACTGACTTCCACAATGGTTGAACTAGTTTACAGTCCCAACAACAGTGTAAAAGTGTTCCTATTTGTCCACATCCTCTCCAGTACCTGTTGTTTCCTGACGTTTTAAAGATCGCCATTCTAACTGGTGTGAGATGGTATCTCATTGTGGTTTTGATTTGCATTTCTCTGATGGCCAGTGATGATGAGCATTTTTTCACGTGTCTTTTGGCTGCATAAATGTCTTCTTTTGAGAAGTGTCTGTTCATATCCTTCACCCACTTTTTGATGGGGTTGTTTGTTTTTTTCTTGTAAATTTGTTTGAGTTCATTGTAGATTCTGGATATTAGCCCTTTGTCAGATGAGTAGATTCCAAAAATTTTCTCCCATTCTGTAGGTTGCCTGTTCACTCTGATGGTAGTTTCTTTTGCTGTGCAGAAGCTCTTTAGTTTAATTAGATCCCATTTGTCAATTTTGGCTTTTGTTGCCATTGCTTTTGGTGTCTAATCTTAATTACATTCCAAACTTCCCACCCTCTCAGATGCCATAGTCAGGTTTTTTCACCCTCTTAATGTTGTTGCAATGAGGATTAAGTTTCATCATGAGTTTTGGAAGGTACAAATACTAAAACCATAGCATCATTCTAATGGATGTGAGGTAATATATCATTGTGTTTTTGATTTGCATTTCATATGATTTATTCTGAGAGTCTTTTTCATGTTTTTATTGGCAATTTGTATATTTCCTTTGGACAAATGTCATTCAAGTCCTTTGCCCATTTTGTAAACAGCTTGTTTTGCTGTTGTAGAGTTATTTATATAGTCTGTTAACTCCTTATCAGATGTAAGATTTGCAAACATTTTTTCCCATTCCATGGATTACCTTTCCAGTCTATTGATTGTGTCCTTTGATGTCAAGAACAATTATTTTAAAAAATTGATATTTATAATGCAGATAAAAGAGCTTCATTGCATAAAAGTAATGACCAATACATTCCACAGAGGAGTCTGGGCTCTTCCCCTTAATTTTATTCCTTCTAGCCATGCCCCGGAGGGT